>NC_000001.11:247547757-247699273 GCF_000001405.40 Homo sapiens
ATCACCTGGGAACTTGTTAGAAAGGCAAAATATTGATCCCAGTTTGAAAGAGTCAGAATCTGCATTTTAACAGGATCCTCGGGTGATTTGCTTACATGAGAAAGTTTGGGAAGCAGCACTTTGGTACATAGGTTGTCACATACGAATTAGATAAATCATAAATCTGAAATGGGGTGTGTGACATTCCTGCTTGTAATATATTTTTCTCATGTTTATAATCGATAAATAAACAATACAAAACTTATAAATAATGATAAAGCACTCCAGACTCCTGAGTTCTGCTGCTGGTTAACAGTCAATTAAACTTCCTCAGTCCTGATTTCCTCATTGGGAGAAAAAAAGAGTTGGAATAGGTGAGCATATAGTTTCTGATTTCAGCAAATAGATTTTGTGTTGGTTGGAAGCTGAAGAAAATCAACCACCTGTGGTATAAATCCTTCGGCAGGAGACATCATGAATAAGCGATTTCAGTCTCCTGACAGCCACGGCTCAGAGTCAGCTGTTAGCTGATCTCCTGCCGCTGATATTGTGGCCTCGAAATTATCACTAGAACCAGCTTGTGCTTTGTGGCTCTGGTGGGCAGCCTAGGGGAGGAAGTGGGGGACCAGATGCTGGCAACAGGTCTTCCAGGCCCTGCATTTTCCCCATTGTCATGTTAGTCTTTGAGCTGACAACCAGAACAATGGCTTCTTAACCTACCCCAAATAATTTTGATAACCTTCTATTCTCATCCTTTTTTTTCCTTTTTCTTTCCCATCTTGTCTTTGAAAGTATCAGACCTCTGAGGAAAGGCTATTGACATTTGATCTGATTATCGTTGCTAGAGCCACAAAGAGAAATTTTATTTCTAACGTTGTTTTTTTCTTTTCCCCAAGAAGAGGCTTTCTCTTTGTATGTTTGGAAGAGGACAACATATTTGGAATCTTGAGATCTCAGATCTCTGTAATGAGCAGTTTGCCTAAGAAATCATGAATCCAGATTAATCACTTTTATTCCAGCAAAAATGCAACTCTCTTATTGCATTGTGTAATCTTATTATTATGCTCACTTCGGAGGAATAGGGAAGTCCTTACCTTGTTTCGTCTTGCAATACTAGAATTTCCTTGAAAGCAAAGTGAACCTGGAGTGATAGATTCACTTTCATGTTTCAGCCTGATTTTTTCCCACTGTATGCCCACGCGTGTGTGTATGAGTGTGTGTGTGTGCGTGCAGGCACACACACGCACACTCACATTTTCCTTTCTGCCTCCCCTTTCGAGCTCTTCCTGCCTTCTCTATCATGCGCAGGCCCCTGGCAGCTCGTGGTTGGCAAGAGCACGAACCCGTGGTCAGATGCAACGTCCTGCCTCATGCATTTTCCTCTTGGTGCTTTGGTCAGAACTTCCCCAAGTGGAGTGAAACTCAGGAGCTGAGAAACCGAGTCACTGTGAAAAGATGGGAAATTATCTCCTGCGAAAACTCAGGTGAGTCTTGACTCTTGGTGCCGCCTTTCTTGGGAGAAAGAGAACAGAGATAAGGAGGCTGGACATAACGCATTTGTAATGGTGAGGTACATTGTGCTTCTAGAAGGTTAAGCCTGAAGACAGCATCCTCTAGGAGCACACAGTGACGCCCAGTTGGCTCCTTCTCTTGCCTTACTCTGGAACAATGATAGGTTGCCAGATGTAGAAAACAAAAATACTGGATGCTAAGTCACATTCAAATTCCAGAAAAACATTTTTTTTTTTAGTATGAATGTGCCTCATATAATATTTTGGGCATTATAACATGGGTTGTACTTTACTAAAAAGTTATTCATTGTTTATCTGAAATTCAAATTTAGCAGTGCATCTTGTATTTCATCTGGCAACCCTACACAATTGTCACTTGAATTTTCCTGCTTCTCTTTTTCTTCATGTGGGTGTAGAGCTTAACTTTCCATCCATCAGCTTCGTGGGTTGGTATGAGAATGAACAGTTAGGTCCTTGCAAATTATGGATGCGGGATATGCATTTGAATGCCTTTGACTTTAGTCACACCTTTTTTGGTAATGTTTAGCCTTACACTCTTCCAATACTTCATAATTTATAGAATGTGTACAGATAACAGGCATTATTGTTCTTACATCTTGCTTAATCTTAAATGATGGGCTCTACAGCATCCCACTCCTCTGTCCGCTCTCCCAGTCCCCTTCCAGACAATCTTGCATATGACGTGACTACATTGATAGACCCAAGGCAAAACTCTCATCATATCGCTCCTGTGCTCCAGTGGGTACCATGTAGAAATATGACTGGACAAAAAGGGTATGACCTAACGCTAATAGACGGAGTGGAAAATCCCAGCAAGTCTTGTTCTGTCTGTTTAGATTCTTCTTGACCTCTCTGTGCAGCGTTCCTTACTTACGGGTATGGGGCAGAGGACTCTCTGGAATGGGGGCTTATGACCTACAGTCAAACAAAGTAGGTCAGAGAAGCTGTCTTTATGAGGCAGCAGATTGGCTTCCCCACACCTGATGGTTCATACCGTCTCCTTTCACCAGGTTAAATAGTTCAGCTGTCCCTTGATGTCTTCATTTAGTCTTTCAGTAAATTGCTATTTGTTAAAGAGCTTAAGGGTGGCTGGGCACGGTGGCTCATGTCTGTAATCCCAGCACTTTGGGAGGCCGAGGCGGGTGGATCACGAGGTCAGGAGATCGAGACCATTCTGGCTAACACGGTGAAACTCCGTCTCTACTAAAAATACAAACAATTAGCCGGGCGTGGTGGTGGGCACCTGTAATCCCAGCTACTCGGCAGGCTGGGGCAGGAGAATGGCGTGAACCCGGGAGGCGGAGCTTGCAGTGAGCCGAGATCCCGCCACTGCACTCCAGCCTGGGCGACAGAGCAAGACTCTGTCTCAAATAAACAAACAAACAAAAAAAAATGCTTAAGGGTTCATGGATGGAGAAGGGCCATCAAAGTTCAGGATGAGCATGAGTCTGGGCAGTAGATGGAGGACAAATGACACAATTGTGCTGAGAGGTAAATTCAATTATTTACCCTAAAGAAAAAATGTTTCCCTTCTTTTAAAGTTAAGCAATATTTATGGAAAGCCTAGGTAAGACAATGGTCTTGGTCGCAAGAAAAAATTAAACATGGAAGGAAAATGGATATGGAAGCAAATTTTAAAAATGGATAGGCCCCTTCAGAGAACATCGTACTTAATCACTCTGACTCAGCTTTAAAAAAATAGACATTACGTGGCTCAGATAATTAAAATTGAGAGAGAATTAAAACTTGTCAAGGTTGCCTTTGCTATAAAATTATGAATCTTACATGTAATTTATGATGTCAAGTCATCCGTCATTTCCATTACACCACAATGGCTTCTTTTTAAGATAAGGCAGGTGCTAATGTGTTCTAGGCAGAAGCACAAACAGCGCACTGTAGAAATAAAAGGAAGGAAGGAAGGGAATTCTGGTTTGGGATAGCAGGAAGGAAGGACATGCTTGAGGAATTGCCATTTGGATTGTGCTGTAAATGTTAGGCAGACTTACAAAGCAGGAAAAGATGGTCCAAGCTGAAGGGACAACCTGTGAAAATGTATGAGTTTCAAGTGTATGGTATTACTGTCAATAATTGGAGCATATTGTTCAGAGATGACTCCAGTAGCAGAAGAAGTTGAGAATGAAGCTGGGGGTCTGATAATGAAGGGCCTTCAAAGGCACGTAGAAAGTGGTAAGCAGTGAACATTTATAAGCTGGAGAAAAATGCAATGTGGCATGTATTTTAGGAAGAAATGTCTATGCTCAGTGAGTATGGAGGAATGACACAGAGAGAAATAGACAATAAGCTCTTAAAATATACCAAAGAAGATGCAGGGGCAAAAGGAAAACTTCCCCTTTGCTCCCTGAAGGTTCTCTGAAATCAGCTGAGAAAAGGCAGATTAATAGGACAAAAGGCAAATTTATTGATCATCGTTTTATGTGACACAGGAACCTCAGAATGAAGACCCAAAGATGCAAAGGAAACTGTCCATTTCTATGCTTAGGTTCAACAAATTTTGGATAGCCATGTGGAAATATGATTGGACAAAAAGGATATGACCTAATGCTAATAGACAGAGTGGAAAATCCCAGCAAGTCTTGTTCTGTCTGTTTAGATTCTTCTCGACCTCTCTGTACAGCATTCCTTACTTATGAGTATGGGGCAGAACACTCTCTGGAATGGGGGCTTATGACCTACAGTCAGACAAAGTAGGTCAGATAATGTCTTTATGGCTGGTTCTTACACAGAAAGATACAGGGAAAGTTAGAGTCATCTTACTAATTTTATGGCTGGCTTTGGGGAAAAGAGGTTCTGGTTTCTATCAATCACCTTGGGGAAGAGGGATTCTAATTTCTATGGCTAGCCCTGGGTAGGAAAGAGTTGTCACAGAGAGGAGGGCAGGAGAAAGAGAGCTGCTTCTGAGGCTTTTATTTTGGAGTATCATTTTCTGAGCCCCAACAAAGAGATGGTAAAGAGCTGAAATTCATCAGGAACAACCAAAATGAAGAGGAAATTCAGTGAAAGTAAATGCATTCCCAAGGAGTCACCTTGGTGTGTGTCAGTCATTGGGATCACAGATGTGGTGTGAGAGAAGGCTGGAGAATGGCCTCTAGAACACGGATGCAGAGAGCCTCCTGTTGCTCTGACCCTGCTTGTCAGAGGCCTGTTACCTTGGGCAGTGCCTAATTTGCAGCCTGATAATTGGCTGCAGATGAGTCTGGGGAAGGTAGCTGCTGCTTTCTAGCCCCTGACTAGCAAGAGGGTGAAGTAAATGTAGACATCGCCCATGGGCAGTGTCCATCACATACCCTCTTTAGTCTTTATTTCAAAATTGATTTAGTTCTTTGAAGACTTTATCCTCCCATATAAATTTGTACACAAATTCTGAATTTGTGTATTATATAAAAAGTGCCAGCTTGAATTTGGATTCAGACAACATTGTGAATATAGAGATCTATTTGCAAATTCTTCTATGTTTATGCAGATGTACTATATGTATATATATTTTGAGATGGAGTCTTGCTCTGTCACCCAGGCTGGAGGGCAGTGGCATGATCTCGGCTCACTGCAACCTCCACCTTCCAGGTTCAAGCGATTCTTCTGCCTCAGCCTACCGAGTAGCTGGGACTACAGGCACGCACCACCATGCCCGTCTAAGTTTTGTATTTTTAGTGGAGACGGGGTTTCACCATATTGGCCAGGCTGGTCTTGAACTCCTGACCTTGTGATCTACCTGCCTCGGCCTCCTAAAGTGCTGGGATTACAGGCGTGAGCCACTGCGCCTGGTCTATGCAGATATACTATTAATACACCAATCAAAACAATTATTTATAATTATCTTTATTCAAATCTTCTTTAATGCATTCTGATAGAGCTTTAATTTTTTGTTTTTATTTTATTCTTTGTTAGATAGATTTCTAGATACCATATGCAACAGTAATAAATCTATGAATGACATTTTTTCCTAGCCTGTTATTGTTGGAATGCTATTGAATTTTGCAAGATGACTTTGTATCCACTAGCCTTGTTGAATTTCTCATTTTTTTTCATGGTTTTTTAATCCTACTGGGTTTACATAGTTAATATATCATCTATAAAGTTAAAGATTTTTCTATTCTTTTTTTGTTCCTTACAAGTCTTATAGGTACCTTTATCATGTTTTATAGCATAGTTATGTCAGAATTCTTAGGCATCATTTTCTTGTAACTGATCATAATAATTTTTTTCTAAATTGTTTTCATCAAGGTTGCTGTATATTTTTGACATTTATATTTGGCATTTATGTTTTTGGCATATTGCCTCTATCAAAATAAGGAGATTCTACTTTTTAAAAAAATATGTAGAGATGAGATTTCACTATGTTGCCCGGTCTGGAGTGCAGTGGCTATTCACAGATGCAATCAGAGTGCACTACAGCTTTGAACTCCTGGCCTCAAGTGATCTTCCTGCCTCAGCCTCCCAAGGAGCTGGGATTACAGGCCTGCACCACTGCACCCAGCTCTTCTGAGGGTTTTTATTGTTAATAAGGACCAAACATTATCAAATGCAGTTTTAAACTATTGAGATAACCTCATGATTCTTCTCTTAGGCTTCTAAAGTAGTTAATTATGTTAATAAATATTTTTGCTAATTACCTATCTTTTAATTTCTGGGATAAAACCCATTTGATTGTGATGTGTGCAATTTTACTATAGTTTTAGATTTAGTTAACTTATATTTTATTGAGGATTATTGCATCTATTTTCATGATCGAGTTGGACCTGTGATTTTTAAAAATTTGATTTATTTAATTTGAAATGAAAGTTTACCAATCTCATTAAATGGGTTGGCATCATTTTACATTTCTCTACTTTCTGGAACATCTTATATATGAGAGAGTATATTTGTCACTTGAAGTTTGGTAAATTGTGTACGCAGCTGTGTAAGCTGGATTTTTTTGTTATTGATGTTATTCATGTGTCAGTTTTTATATTTCATTTTTTCCAAGATATTATTCATTTTAAGCCATAATGTTTATTATACATAATTCTTCATCATGCCTGTTTTATGTCTGTAATACTTATTTTGAACTTTCTGTTTTCATTATATTTTTGTCTCCATTCCTTATTTCTTTAGTTGGTCTTTCCAGACTTTTGCTATCTTACTGATATTATTCTTTTCTAAGATTTGGTTCCCTATCATATTTATTTTTACCCACAACTTTCTTGTTTCCTTTTTCTTCTCCCAACTTCTTAAGATAAATGCTTACTTTGTCATTATTAGTCATTTATGTTTTCTTATGAATGTATTTTAGCAAGCTATTTTCTTCACACTTCACTTTATCCTTCAAATAGTCTTGTGTAGCTTGCATTATTATTTTATTCTGTGTTTTTAGAAAGTTCCTTTATGATTCCCTCTTTAACATAAGGATTATTTAGAATATTACTTGTGCCTAGACAGGTACACTTTTGGTTATAGCTTATTGGGTTTTAATTTTACTGCTTGATAGTTGGAGAAATCATGTGCAAATTGTTGATTTTGGGGGATGTTTACTAAGACTTTCTTTGTAGAGTTATGAAGTCATAAGTCAACATCCAACATTTAGAAAGTTTAAAAATAAGAAGAAAAAACACAGAAGGTATAAAAAATTATTCATAATCTTAATTCTTTGGCCAAGATACATCTAAAGCTTAATAAAATACCTATTTTTGAAAACAATAGAGTATTAGTTGATTTATTAATTTGGTCAACAAATTTTTGTACATCACCTATGGCCTGATATTATCTGAATTCCTCTGGATTAAGAAAAACACTTTTTACTTTATTCACAGTAGAATTTAGTATCCAGTTATATTCAGTAATATTAATGGTGTGGAATTCCAATTAGGTCCCTACTGATGTTAAATACTTTTCCTGTCTTGTTTTCAACTTTAAAATACAAACATCCTTTAGATGTGTAAGTCAATGAATCACTAATAACCCCAAGGACAATTATTTTACCAAATTCTTTCTTTATTGACCAGTTTAGGAAGATGGAATCGTGAGAAAACTAGACTCCAGGAAAAGGGGAAAAAAGGAGACAGTTAAATTACTTTTTACCTGATTTACAATCTACACTATTAAATAAACATTACATCCAGATTTGACTGTGATCGTGACTATTATACAAAATCTCTACATCAGCAACTGATTCTATAAAAAGCCCCCACCTCTGTAAATTGATATTCCTTTATATTTAACAAATATATTCTTTGCTTAGTGGCTTTGTGTGTTGATATCTAGCAATGTTTCTTGAACATATACATATGACCTCTATTCAGGGAAGGCACTTTCTCAGCGTTGGTTCGAAATGCTTTCCCCGAATACTGCTGGTAAGCAGAAGTGAGGCTCTTATATGCAAAGCTACCTAGAAGCAGAAGGATAGACCAGTGCTGCAGAAGTGACAATAGAGGAAAAGAAAACCATCAAGGAAATGCTATGTGTGGACAACTGGTGGAGTAGAAAGTTTGATTAACCAAGTCACAAACATAAGCTGCTAACTATTGTGTTAACCACGCAAATCACCTGATTTCTCTAACTTCGTCATTTAGTGTTTGCCTGATTATCATAAAGATGATGATAATTGATGGCAAAACACCAAGAGTAATATGAAAAAGTCAGCTTTCCTGAATGTATGTAAAGATCCCAATGTCTTATCTGCACATGGATGCCCACATGCAGCAGGGCCCAGAGACGCTTGCTCTGGTTCAGTGGGCCAAGACTGGCAGTCCTCATAGTCCACAAAGGTGTGTACAAGCAGATCATCTTGCCTCAGGTTGTTGCAAAAGTGATGCTTCCCTGTTGTTAAGGTCTTTATAGCTTCCTGGGAGCTCTCACCTCTTCTAGAGATGCAGGAAGTTTGCATGTTGGGTCACAAGAAATCCTAAGACTGACAGAATCAAAAGTCAGACTATGGGCATTCTGTCCCATCAGAGTCCTGGTCTCTGTGGTTAATTTCTGAAATGCATTCTATCTGTGACTGCTTATTGATTTTGAAGGAAAGGGAAGTTTGTCAAAAAGAAAAGTCAGGTTTGGTTTTAATGGTCTAGAAAGTTAGAGAAGAAGGTGAAAAAATGTGGAGGGCAGTAACAATCTCTCTTTTTTCTTATGTGTTTCCATATAGTTGCCTGGGAGAGAATCAAAAGAAGCCCAAGAAAGGAAACCCAGATGAGGAAAGAAAACGGTAAGAACAGAGCATCTCAGAGTTTTTTTGTTTTGTTTTGTTTTGTTTTTTCATTGAGATTACTTCCAGAGTCTCTGCCCCACTAGAACTAACACCCCTTAGGGCCGCTATAATAGAGTTCTTTGGTGATTACCTGCATGACTTGGCAGCAGGTTAGACATTGACTCTGTCTAAATAAGAAAGACAGGGTATTAGCCACGTGTTTTGTTTCTATTGATTATATAATGTGAGTGTAGAAACATAAAGATAGAATAAAGGATGTTTGGTTTTGGTTGGTTATATGTGGTGGCCATATTTCCCACCTTTTCCTTACAAGTAGCCAGAATAATCTTTGGAAAACATGTCTCATTATGCCTTTTCCTTGCCCGAGACCATTCAGTCATTCTTCATTGCATTCAGAATAAAATGCAAACTCTTCACCAGGGCCTACAGTTCCATAAGGATTGGATTCTGCATCTCTCCCATCTGGTTCCTCACTCTCTACCTTCACCCACTATCTTACATGCATTCTCCTTTTATTTGATGTTCTTTAAGCCACCAAACTCAGCCTCACTTTAGGGCATTTCTACAAGCTGGTCTTTTACTGCACAATTAAAAAAAAATTCCATATTTGCATTTGGACTGATTGATAACGTCTCCTCCTGGAGATGCTGGCCCTCATGCCCTTCTCTGAAAGATTATGGAGGAACTTTGCTTCTGCACCGCATGGTTTTATGGCACTAGAACCTACTTATATTTGCTGTGGCCTTTATCTGAACTTGTAACTCTATATGTCGTTTGAGCTCTTTATAGTCCACTTCCTTCATAGACCATACGCACTTTAACGTCACTTCTGTTTCACTTGCTAATGTATATCTGTTGCTCAACCCTTGCAAGACACTCAATGGAAAAAAGAAAAAAAATGGAGTGGAAAAATGGTAGATATCTAGATGTTGATATCTTGCCTCAGCTTAGATGAACAGAAACACCCTGCCTTGTTGGTTAACTGTAGGCTTTTCGTATTCTTGCACTAAGCTCTTTTTTAATCATTTCATCTCAATGTCTTGGTTTCTGTCTCTGAGATGGCTTCTTCTTCTTTTCCATGGTATGAAGGGGCAGAGGATTGAGGAGATGAGCCAGGTATCTGTTGGTGATGTGAAATGATGTTTGCAGGCATCAGCCCCCTCCTAAATGTTTGAACGACACTTTCCTGCACAAAGGAGAGAGTTGGCTTCATGAGTCAGCCCTCAGGGACAGTGGAGTTGGCTATGCCTATCTTGTGACCCTTTCTCACGCTCCCCCGACTCCCCCCACTCCCCTTATGGTTTGTAGCTGGAGAGGAGATAGCAATGATTTGGTGATATTATTGAACCAAGGTTCTTTTATCAGCTGCTGTGAATCAGTTCTGTATAGCGTCTTTTAAACTAGACTTTTAATTCAGGCATTCCCATTAGGCATTTAACTTACGCATAAACTAGTCATCTAAACTAGGCTTTTGTTTCATCATGTCTAAAGTGAGATCTGCACTAGATGTCATTCTCTAATATTTTTCTGTTAAAGGAACTGAAGTGTTAACATTTTCAAATACCAGCAAGCCTTTATTACAATCAGACAATAACTAAATGTAGATAAATTAAATGTCGTTAGGGTTTTCTCATGCAAGGAAATTTTAGGAGCACGACTCATGGAATTTTCACTAGTCAGCATGGTGAGGAAGATCTGAACCATTTTACCATTCTAGTCAATTGCAGTCAAATATGTGTTGCATGTGGGCTAAGAAGTCAGTTTCCTTTTTGGCTAATTTCACAGGATGATGTCTATTGAATAAAGTTGGATTTTCTACATCTTCCTGAGTCAATTTTGATTATTGGATTCTTATCAGAATATTATTCATTTAAACATATTTACAGAAAGGACAGTATGAGCTCTTTCAAGTCACTTAACTTTTAAAATGTAGGCTTATAGAGGTATAGTACAGTAAAATTCACCCTTCTCATATATACAGTTTGATAAGTTTAGGAAAAACATACTCAGTCATGTAGTCACCACAATCAAGATACAGAATATTTCCACCACCCTCCCTTTCCCTTCAACCCCTGGCAACCACTGATCTGATTTCTGTTTTGCATTTTTTCCAGGATGTCATAGTATCATTGCTTTTATCTTTATTGCATTCTTATTTTTGCTTTCCTTAGTTTTTTAAATTGTTGCTATTCTAATTGTTTTGAATTCAAAACTCAATAATTTTGTTCTCAACTTTTCTTGTTTAGGAATGGAAGCATATATGAATACAAACTTTCCCTCTAAATAATATTTTACCTGTATCCTATGTGTAATTGAAGGAAATACTATTATTGTCTAATATTTTGCAACTTTTAATTTATTCTTGGACCTGAGTAGTTTTTAAATTTCAAATATTGTTTTATAGTCTTGAATATAATTTAAATTTTATTTGTTACCAGTATCTGTGTGGTCTGTGTTATTTCTGCTTTATAGATTTTATTAAAGTCTTCTTTGTCCTATATGTTAACTTTGAGACAAGTTACTTACATTCTCTAAATTTTGGGTTCTTCATATGCAAAATAGCCTTAAAATACTACAATTTTAGCTTGTGTTTATGGAAAAAGAAATCACTGCCTATTTCATCAGCACGATGGCTGTCTGGCACCAACACTCAATACATACTAGCTGGTATCTGTGCACATCATTATGTGCCTAGATTTTGAAAATATATTATGTAATATTTTGTTCAGAGATCATAATTTTGAAATTTGTCTGCTAGAGAAACATTATTGTGTATTTCAGATATTCACTGTCATTATTTCTCCTGCTTGTTATTAGCTGAGAGAAATTAATCTACTGGTTTATTTGAGTTACCTTTCATGTTTTCTTTTTCTTTCTTTCATATGGATTCTAAATAGTTTGGTGTGTAGCAATTCATGACAGTATTAGGTGTTTGTCGGTTTTAATCTTTATCATGCCATCTTCTGTCCAGCTTTTTTTTTCTGAAATGACGGCCTTGCTAAAATCTTCATCTTCCGCAGTGTGAGAAGGTCCCTGTGACGGGAGATCAAGGACACCCAGGGACATTGCAGGCAGCTTCCTCTCGGATAGGGAGGATAGAGGGAGGTCCTGTTTCATTAGTATTGCCTAGTCTAGTTCCCATATATCTATCTATATTCATTTACTAAGGCTCTTATAGCGAAGTACCATAGACTGGGTGGCTTAAAGAACCAAAATTTTCTTTCTCACAATTGCGGAGACTGGAAGTCTGAGATCAACATGTTGGCAGAGGTGGGCTGTTTTGTGAAGTCTGTCTTTGGCTTGTAGATGACTGTCTTATCCCTGAGTCTTCGTATTGTCTTCCCTCTGTGTTACGACTGTGTTCAAATGTTCTGTTCTTATAAAGACACCAGTCATACTGAAATAAGGCCCAATCTTATGACCTTGTTTTAATTTAATTACCTGTGTTAAGATCCTATCTCCAAATACAGTCACATTCTGAGGTTCTGGGGATTAGGACTTCAACATGTGGATTTTAAGGGGACATAATTTAGTTCATGAGAGATGTCAAGAAAATCTAAGAGGATTCTTAGAAATCCAGGAATTCCTGCCACTGTCTGGACATTTCCAGCGGCCACAGCATGCAGAATTGTTCCACTGTATTTAAGAGAGAGTGGACAAGCAGTAGGTGCTGATAATCCACAGCCCGGACTTAGATAGGTTTGGATTTTGTGGCTGGAGCCTCGGAACGACAGATAACTGAGTGGCTGAATTCCCCATTCACCAGCTGCTTTGTTACATAACTTCACATTTTACAAAGTCCAAATGTGGTTGTGCAGTAATGTTTGCTTTATTTCTTTCCTAAAGACCTCGTAGGTTTTAGATTATCTCAGTACTAAGACATTTGAGAACACATCTTCTTTCCTTGGAGAGTAATACAGTTCTTGGATCGTATCTTTCTCCTCACAACTTAGTGAACGTAATTCCACTCTGCAGCTGTGGAGCTGAGCCACCTTAAGCCGCCTTCCTGATGACTTGGTTTTACATACATTTTCCCCATGAAAGTTTGAAAACTCATTATTTGTTCCCTACCCCCACCCCCAAACATGTATTATTTTCTTTTATACATATGTCTTTATTTTAATTTTTTTTCTCACCTTTCTTGAGCTATGAATGAAAAACAAAAATTGTACATATTGAAGGTACACAATATGATGTTTTGATATGTATATACGGTGAAGTGATTACCACTATAAGTACATTAACAACTTAATATATTTATTATCTCAGACAGTTACCATTATTTTTGTGTGTGATGAGAATGCTTGAGATCCACTCTTTTAGCGAATTTCAAGCACACGTTGTCACTGACTATAGTCACCATATCTCAGTGTTCCATGCCATTTGTTTTTTCCCCTGTGAAGTCGGTTTTCAGATTTAAGTATTTATTTTATGACTTTTCTCTCATTCTACTTTTGTTTCATTTGTTTAGATTTTTTTTATTTTTATTTTTTATTTTTTTGAGACCAAGTCTCACTGTTGTCACTGGGGCTGGAGTACAATGGCGTGATCTCGGCTCACTGCAACCTCCGCCTCCTGGGTTCCAGCAATTCTCCCACCTCAGCCTCCCAAGTAGCTGAGACTACAGGTGCACACCATCATGCCTGGCTAATATACAACTTTTTTGTACAGACAGGGTTTTGCCATGTTGCCCAGTCTGGTCTCAAACTTCTGGGCTCAAGTGATCCATCTGCCTTTGCCTCCCAAAGTGCTGTGATTACAGGCATGAGCCACCACACCTGGCCTACTTTTAAAACTGATAGAGCATACTTGTACATATTTGGGGGGTACATGTGATATTTTGATAAATGTATACAATGTGTAATGATTAAATCAGAGTACTTGTGATATCCATCTACTCAAACACCAATCTTTTATTTGTCTTGGGAACATTACAATTCTTTTCTTCCAGCTATTTTGAAATATACAATAAATTATTATTAACTATAATTTTCCTCACTGTGCTATCAAATACTAGGAGTTATTTGTTCTAGCTAACTATATTTTTGTACCCATTAGCTAACTTCTCTTGATTCTTTCCTCTCCCATTAATGTTGCTTTAATTTAATATAAAAATGTTATTCTCTATAATTGTTTTCCTGGTTTAGGCCAGTCCATTTTCCTTCTCCATTTATTATTGTTAATAACTATTAACAATAATAAACATGTTATTTTTCTGCTTCTAAAATATTGTTTCTGCTTCTTTTGTTTTGCTTTTGTTACGCATTTCATCTTTGTAACTTTGTGCTTAGTACTCTGAATGAAAGTAGATCATTTGTGAGATAAAATTGCGTGTATGCGTGTGTGTTTAAGGAGGGTGCAGACGAGAAACAAGCTATGGCTGTGACTGAACCAAACTGAGGGCGGCTCACCCGGCGCCGCAAAGCCAAAAACATCCACACGGAGGGTTGCAGCAGGACCAAGGAGGCGTCTATTTGCAGGTCACCAAGCAAGGAGAATGGATCCCTCAGGCTTAAGACCTGTCCTCTTCAATGGCTTACAATCAAGGGTTTTTAAAGGCAGGGGTAAATTTCAGGAAAGCAGAATTTACAGGCAAAATTGTAAATAAATACATGGAGATTATAGTTTGTTTGGCCTAAAAAGCTGAGATACCTTGAAGCTGAGGGGGAAGGGTGCCTTACGGGTCATAGGTGGAATGAAAGATTCTTTGATTTGCAATTGTTTAAGGAAGCAAAGCTTTGTCTGAGAATATGGAGCCATGAGTAAGGAACGCTAAGGTCTGGCTCCTGGGCATGACTTTCTCAGGCTCCTCAGGAAGAAATTTAGACAAAGTATGGCGCTGGGAGTTCAGTCCTCAGCGCGCCCGTGCCTGAGGTCCGTGTGCCAGAGGATGCATGTGGTGGAGGTCCAGGTTTCCTCCTGCTTCCCAGGCTCCTTATTTACTGCTCAGGGCTGGCTGGGTGCCTGGAATTTCCCTCGAAGAAACTCACGACTTTCCTTTATTTCCTTGCTTGGCAGTGCCAGACAGACTTCCAAGAGGGGTCTCTGCTCTGTTGCAAAATCCAGGCAGTGATTGTGGCATGTCGTTTTAGAATGCTTCCTCACAAAATGTTTTTCCCTCAGCCCAGGCACATCTCTCTACTGTGTACCTAGCTGTCCTTGAGGCAGGCAGCTGATTACAAGTTATATCCTTTTTTCATATTTCCCCTTAAATTTAGGAGTCTGACTGACAGAGAAATAAAAGGTGATATGCTGGCAACCCCATCTCCTCCCTACCGCCTTTGAATCCTCTTTATTGTGTAAATTGTGTCCCTTTAAAAATAATCTCTATTTCTTTCATCACTGGCCCACACTTATTTTTTTTTTAATTTATTTTTATTTTTATTTTTGAGATGGAGACTCGCTCTGTCACCAGGCTGGAGTGCAGTGAAATGATCTCTGCTCGCTGCAACCTCTGCCTCCCGGGTTCAAGCAATTCCCCTGCCTCAGCCTCCCGAGTAGTTGGGACTACAAGTGCATGCCACCGTACCCAGCTCATTTTTTTTTTTTTTTTGTATTTTAGTAGAGACGGGGTCTCACCGTGTTGGCCAGGAAGGTCTCGATCTCCTAACCTCGTGATCTGCCCGCCTTGGCCTCCCAAAGTGCTGGGATCACAGGCATAAGCCATCCCACCCGGCCACCACACTTATTAATGTCTATTACTGTAAGGTTTTAGTTAGAATTCGTAAGACCCTCTCATTTGTCTTTAAGGATTTATACACCCTCATCAAGAATAGCAGAAAAATAAATTTCAAAACTTTCCATTTTCTCTCTTGAATTGTCCTAAATTTCATTATATTATATGTATGTTTTCCATGCGTGTAATAATATATGTAGTCTGATAAGCTAATAATTCTCTTAGCTTCATGCTATATGGAGCTTTGTTTTCCACTTTTCATTGTCTAGATTTTTGTGGTTTTTCAAAAAAGGCTGGAGTAAGCAGCCTTTTAATTGTATTTAATATTTGCATGGAAAATCTAACAATGGCCTTAGGTTAAGGGCAACCAAATGCTTTTTTTGAAAGGCATTTTCAGCTTTGGAGAACCTGGAGTATCTCATGTTACTATCTCTTTCCTTGTAGGCAGGAAATGACTACATTTGAAAGAAAACTTCAAGATCAAGATAAGAAAAGTAAGTCATGGCTGTATAATATTTTTCATAGTAGGGAAGTGCAAATTTAAGCATCCAATTAGCAGACACTCTTGAGCCTATTGTAATAACAGATTGGAGAAGAGGCTGCTTGGAGTTCTTACTCTTTCATAAAACTGATCACATCATTCTTGGTATTAAAGTAATATTTGTATATTATTTTTTGAGTGACATTTAAGAAACTTCTGTGGAAAGAAGTTAACCAAAATTCTACTGTTTTTAATTTGTATATTGGTGTTCTAAAATAGGGCCTTTGAATATTAGCAGGCGATAAGAAGTGTATTTTTTTTTTTGAGATGGAGTCCCACCCTATCGCCCAGGCTGGAGTGCAGTGTCACAATCTCGGCTCACTGTAACCCCCCGCCTTCCGGGTTCAAGTGATTTTCCTGCCTCAGCCTCCTGAGTAGCAGGGATTACAGGGAGACACCACCACACCCAGCTAATCTTTGTATTTTTAGTAGAGACAGGGTTTCACCATGTTGGCCAGGCTGGTTTCAAACTCCTGACCTCGTGATCCACCTGCCTCAGCCTCCGAAAGTGCTGGGATTACAGGCGTGAGCCACCATGCCCGGCCCCTAAAAAGTGTATTATTTTGTTCTCAAGAAGTTGAAAGAAGCTGGTGGTGCACTCCTGTAGTCCCAGCTACTTGGGAGGCTGAAGTAGAAGGATTCCTTGAGGCCAGAAATTAAGAGTCCAGCCTGAGCAATGTAGCAAGAGCCTGTCTTAAAAAAAAAAAAAAAAAAGAATTTGCTCTGTTTGCCATAGTATCTAGGTATAGTAATCATGTAATTACTCAAAATCGACAGTTATGAATAACAGGGCTCAGCCCCTGTGGACAAGTATACCTAAAGGAAACTCTCTGTTTATTTTTACCCCTAACTTTATTGAGGTATAACTGACAAATAAAAATGGCCTATATTCAAGGTGTGCAATGTGATGATTTGATATATGTATACATTGTGTAATGATTACTACATCAAATTAATATATCCATCACTATACATAGCTACCATCTTGTATGAATGTGGGGACATAAGGGCACTTGAGATCTATTCCCTTAGCAAATTTCAAATGAAGAATACTACGTTGCTAACTAACAAGCAATGGGGATGGATTTCCTATTCAATCCGTGGTGCTGGGTTAACTGGCTAGCCATATGGAGAGGATAGAAACTGGACCCCTTCCTTACGCCATATACAAAAATTAACTCAAGATGGATTAAAGACCCAAACGTAAAACCCAAAATTATAAAAACCCTGTAAAACAACCTAGGCAATACCATTCAGAACATAGGAATGAGCAAATATTTCATGATCTAGACATCAAAAGCAATTGTAAGAAAAGCAGAAATGGACAAATGAGATCTAATTAAACTAAAGTATTTCTGCACAGCAAAAATAACTAACAAGAGTGAACAGACGGCTGGGCCCAGTGGCTCATGCCTGTAATCCCAGCACTTTGGGAGGCCGAGGTGGGCAGATCACGAGGTCAGGAGATTGAGACCATCCTGGCTAACACGGTGAAACCCCGTCTCTACTAAAAATGCAAAAATTAGCTGGGCATGGTGGCATGTGCCTGTAGTCCCAGCTACTTGGGAGGCTGAGGCAGGAGAATCGCTTGAACCCAGGAGGCGGAGGTTGCAGTGAGCCGAGATAGCACCATTGCACTCCAGTCTGGGCGACAGAGCGAGAATCTGTCTAAAAAAAAAAAAAAAATTGGTAGTCAATTTCAGATTCACACGTATGTAAATTGCTTCAGCATTCACAGATGGAATCAACATGAATCTGCATATTTGTGTGTAACTTGAAATAGTTACTCGTGTTATTTCTGTACCTATCTCTATAGCAAGTGTTCATTTTAAAGAATTGTATGATTTTCCTGTGATAGTTACATAAAATTTATATCTTAAATTTGCAGCTATAATCATTCTTTCTTTATGCTTATCATATTGCATTGACATAGCACATTTATGAACATTTTATTACCAAATTTTGAAATCCATCTTATTCAGTACATTAATGTGCTTTATTTACAGAAAGAACATACTATTGATGCTATCTCAGAACACATGTTCTTTCTTGATTTTTTCACTCAGTCTTGAGAACTTCAGTTATAAGATGGGGCAATGTCATGTCAGATGTTTAGATAATAGGCCTCTGCAGTTTTATGACTTCTACATTCTGTTTTTTTCACCTTTTCCTTCAATCTGTGATGGGGCAAAAGTCTCACAGTGCTTTCCTTTCTTTCTTTTTTTTTTTTTTTTAATTCTCCAGGCCAAGAAGTTTCATCCACTTCTAATCAGGTAAGTAGAAAACAAAAAGCAAGACAAAAGAAAAACACAAACTTTTATTATGTTTGTCTGATAAATGCCAAAATACAGATGATTTATTCAAGAGTAGCATCTGTCTTCCTTTATTTGTAATTTCTAAATGTACTTTTAGAAATCATTCATATTTTAAATAATTTATATGGCAATTGTAATGCAGAAATGAAAGGAAATAAAAAACCAAAAAGTATTTCAACTGATCGAGATGAGTAGCAAGTTCTTACCGTTTTGGCCTCAATTCTGCTGAAGTCTAATTTTATTTATTTATTTATTTTTTGAGACAGAGTCACACTCTGTCATCCAGGCTGGGGTGCAGTGGCACGATCTCGGCTCACTGCAACCTCCACCTCCTGGGTTCAAGTGATTCTGGTGCCTCAGCCTCCCAGGTAGCTGGCTTTACAGGTGTGCACCACCACACCTGGCTAATTTTTTATTTTTAGTAGAGACAGGGTTTCACTATGTTGGCCAGGCTAGTCTC
The DNA here is from genome assembly GCF_000001405.40 of Homo sapiens. NCBI lineage: Eukaryota > Metazoa > Chordata > Mammalia > Primates > Hominidae > Homo > Homo sapiens. The sequence continues at coordinate 247,566,462 of NC_000001.11, forward strand.
GAACTCCTGGCCTCAAGTGAATCCACTGGCCTCAGCCTCCCAAAGTGCAGGGGTAACAGGCATTAGTCACTGTGTCCAGCCTATTATTTTAATTTTCAAAGCTATTATAACAAAAACAGATGAAATTAAGTAAATTTATACTTAAAAACTGACCACCATAAAACATTAATTATTTTTAGCTTTCCACATTCCCTTTCAATCCTTATATCCAGGAATTAGCATTTGCATTGACAAGTATGGTGGAAACTATAACATATGGAAAAAAGTTTATTCCTTTTGATACTACCTCATAAAAATTTTGTTGATTTAATTAGTATATATTAATGTTTTTATTTTTTCTTTCCTTCACTGTCTATGCAATTGAAAATGTGCATAAACTCAATTTTTTCTTAGTATTTTATCTTATAAAAATTATAATGAATAATTACTTATTCATTACTTACTGAGGTCTGATTGTTGCAAACATTGCATCTCAGTGTGTGTGAACGAAAGTATAGAAGTGCTTTTCCCTGGATAGTTAGAGGCATAATAGCATCCTTCTTTTCTCTTTTATTATTCAAGTAAAATTAAAGCACAATTAGTAGAAGCTTGGAGTGCAGTTTATGCTGCTATAATGAGGTCTCTAAGACACCAGGGCTTGGAGCAAGGGCTTTTTTTTTTCTAGAAACATTTCTTACATTATATATATTTTATTATTTATTTATTTATTTATTTTTACTTTAAGTTCTGGGATACATGTGCTGAATGGGCAGGTCTGTTACATAGGAATACATGTGCCACGGTGCTTTGCTGAACCTATCAGCCCTTCATCTAGGGTTTAAACCCCCCATGCATTAGGTATTTGTTCTAATGCTCTCCCTCCCCTTGCCCCCCACACCCCAACAGGCCCGGGTGTGTGATGTTCCCCTCCCTGTGCCCATGTGTTCTCATTGTTCAACTTCCACTTATGAGTGGGAACATGCAGTGTGTGGTTTTCTGTTCCTGTGTTAGTTTGCTGAGAATGATGGTTTCCAGCTTCATCCATGTCCCTGCAAAGACCATAAACTTATTCTTTTTTATGGCTGCATAGTATTCCATGATGTATTTGTGGCACATTTTCTTTATCCAGTCTAACATTGATGGGCAGTTGAGTTGGTTCCAAGTCTTTGCTATTGTGAATAGTGCTGCAATAAAAATGCAAGTGCATGTGTCTTTATAGTAGAACGATTTATAATCCTTTGGGTATATACCCAGTAATGGGATTGCTGGGTCAAGTGGTATTTCTAGTTCTAGATCCTTGAGGAATTGCCACACTGTCTTCCTCAATGGTTGAACTAGTTTATACTCCCACCAACAGTGTAAAAGCGTTCCTATTTCTCCACATCCTCTCCAGCATCTGTTGTTTCCTGATTTTTAATGATCACCATTCTAACTGGCATGAGATGGTATCTCATTGTGGTTTTGATTTTCATTTCTCTAATGACTGGTGATGATTAGCTTTTTTTTCTTATGTTTTTTGGCTGCATAAATGTCTTCTTTTGAGAAGTGTCTGTTCATATCCTTCACCCACTTTTTGATGGGGTTGTTTTTTTCTTGTAAATTTGTTTAAGTTCTTTGTAGATTCTGGATATTAGCTCTTTGTCAGATGGATAGATTGCAAAATTTTTCTCCCATTCTGTAGATTGCCTGTTCACTCTGATGATAGTTCCTTTTGCCATGCAGAAGCCCTTTAGTTTAATTTGATCCCATTTGTCAATTTTGGCTTCTGTTGCAATTGCTTTTGGTGTTTTAGTCAAGAAGTCTTTGCCCATGCCTATGTCCTGAATGGTATTGCCCAAGTTTTCTTCTAGGGTTTTTATGGTTTTAGGTCCTACATTTAAATCTTTAATCCAACTTGAGTTAATTTTTGTATAAGGTGTAAGGAAGGGGTCCAGTTTCAGTTTTCTGCATATGGCTAGCCAGTTTTCCTAACATCATTTATTAAATAGTGAATCATTTCCCCATTGCTTGCTTTTCTCAGGTTTGTCAAAGATCAGATGGTTGTAGCTGTGTGGTGTCATTTCTGAGGCCTCTGTTCTGTTCCATTGGTCTATATATCTGTTTTGGTAGCAGTACCATGCTGTTTTGGTTACTGTAGCCTTGTAGTATAGTTTGAAGTCAGGTAGCGTGATGCCTCCAGCTTTGTTCTTTTTGCTTAGGATTGTCTTGGCTATATGGGCACTTTTTTGTTTCCATATGAAATTTAAAGAAGCTTTTTTTCTAATTATGTGAAGAAAGACAATGGTAGCTTGATGGGAATAGCATTGAATCTATAAATTACTTTGGGCAGTATGGCCATTTTCACAATATTGATTCTTCCTATCCATGAGCATGGAGTGTTTTTCCATTTGTTTGTGTCCTCTTTTATTTCCTTGAGCAGTGGTTTTTAGTTTCCTTGAAGAGGTGCTTTACGTCCCTTGTAAGTTGTATTCCTAGGTATTTTATTCTCTTTGTATTGTGAATACAAAGAGAATAAAACACAATTTGCAATTGTGAATGGGAGTCCACTCATGATTTGGCTCTCTTTGTCTGTTATTGGTGTAGAGGAATGCTTGTGAATTTTGCACATTGATTTTGTATCCTGAGACTTTGCTGAAGTTGCTTATTAGGTTAAGGAGTTTTTGGGCTGAGACGATGTGATTTTCTAAACATACAATCACGTCATCTGCAAACAGAGACAATGTGACTTTTTCTCTTCCTATTTGAATACCCTTTATTTCTTTCTCTTGCCTGATTGCCCTGGTCAGAACTCCCAATACTATGTTGAATAGGAGTGGAGAGAGAGGGCATACTTTTCTTGTGCTGGTTTTCAAAGGGAATGCTTCCAACTTTTGCCCATTCAGTATGATGTTGACTGTAGGTTTGCCATAAATAGCTCTTATTATTTTGAGATAGGTTTGATCAGTACCTAGTTTATTGAGTGTTCTTAGCATGAAGGGGTGTTAAATTTTATCGAAGGCCTTTTCTGCATCTATTGAGATATTCATGTGGTTTTTGTCATTGGTTCTTTCTGTTTAATAGATTACGTTTATTGATTTGTGTATGTTGAACCAGTCTTGCATCCCAGGGATGGAGCCGACTTGATCGTGGTGGATATGCTTTTTAATGTGCTGCTGGATTTGGTTTTCCAGTGTTTTATTGAGGATGTTCGCATTGATGTTCATCAGGGATATTGGCCTGAAATTTTCTATTTTTGTTTTGTCTCTGGCAAGTTTTCATATCAGGGTGATGCTGGCCTCATAAAATGAGTTAGGGAGGAGTCCCTATTCTTCTATTGTTTGGAATAGTTTGAGAAGGAATGGTACCAGCTCCTCTTTGTATCTCTGGTAGAATTCAGCTGTGAATCCATCTAGTCATGGGCTTTTTTTGGTTGGTAGGCTAATTAATTACTGCTTCAGTTTCAGAACTTGTTATTGGTCCATTCAGGGATTCAACTTCTTCCTGGTTTAGTCTTGGAAGGTGTGTGTGTCCAGGAATTTATCCATTTCTTCTAGATTTTCTAGTTTATTTGTGTAGAAATGTTTATAGTATTCTCTGATGGTAGTTTGTATTTCTGTGGAATCAGTGGTAGTCTCCCCTCTATTATTTTTTAGTGTGTCTATTTGATTCTTCTGTCTTTCTTCATTATTAGTCTGGCTAGTGGTCTATCTGTTTTGTTAATCTTTTCAAAAAAACCAGCTCCTGGATTTATTGATTTTTTGAAGGGTTTTTCATGTCTCTATCTCCTTCAGTTCTGCTCTGATCTTAGTTATTTCTTGTCTTCTGCTAGCTTTTGAATTTGTTTGCTGTTGCTTCTCTAGTTTTTTAAATTGTGATGTTAGGGTATTGATTTTAGATCTTTCCCGCTTTCTTCTGTTTGCATTTAGTGCTATAAATTTCCCTCTAAACACTGCTTTAGCTGTGTCCCAGAGGTTCTGGTTTGTTGTGTCTTTGTTCTCATTGGTTTCAAAGAACATCTTTATTTCTGCCTACATTTTATTATTTACCCAGTAGTCATTCAGGAGCAGGTTGTTCAGTTTCCATGTAGTTTTGCGGTTTTGAGTGAGTTTCTTAATCCTGAGTTCTAATTTGATTTGCACTGTGGTCTGAGAGACTTTTTGTTATGATTTCTGTTCTTTTGCATTTGCTGAGGAGTGTTTTACTTCCAAATATGTGGTTGATTTTAGGATAAGTGCTATTTCGTGCTGAGAAGAATATATATTTTGTTGATTTGGGGTGGAGAGATCTGTAGATGTTTATTTGGTCCACTTGGTCCAGAGCTGAGTTCAAGTCCTGAATATCCTTGTTAATCTTCTGTCTCGTTGATCTGTCTAATATTGACAGTGGGGTGTTAAAATCTCCCACTATTGTTGTGTTGGAGTCTGAGTCTCTTTTTAGGTCTCTAAAGACTTGCTTTATGAATCTGGGTGCTCCTGTATTCGGTGCATATATATTTAGGATAGTTAGCTCTTCTTGTTGCATTAATCCCTTTACCGTTATGTAATGGCCTTCTTTGTCTCTTTTGATCTTTGTTGGTTTAAAGTCTGTTTTATCAGATTGCACCACCTGCTCTTTTTTGCTTTCCATTTGCTTCGTAAATCTTCCTCCATCCCTTTATTTTGAGTGTATGTGTGTCTCTGCATGTGAGATGGGTCTCCTGAATACAGCACACTGATGGATCTTGAATCTTTATCCAATTTGCCAGTCTGTGTCTTTTAATTGGGCCATTTAGCCCATTTACATTTAAGTTTAATATTGTTATGTGTGAATTTGATCCTGTCCTTATGATGCTAGCTGGTTATTTTGCTCATTAGTTGAGCAGTTTCTTCATAGTGTCAATGGACTTTACATTTTGGTTTGTTTTTGCAGTGGGTGGTACTGGTTTTTCCTTTGTATATTTAGTGCTTCCTTCAGGAGTTCTTGTAAGGCAGGCCTCATGGTGACAAAATCCCTCAGTATTTCCTTCTCTGTAAAGGATTTTATTTCTCCTTCACTTATGAAGCTTAGTTTAGCTAGATATGAAATTCTGGGTTGAAAATTCTTGTCTTTAAGAATGTTGAATATTGGCCCCCACTCTCTTCTGGCTTGTAGGGTTTCTGCAGAGAGATCCGCCATTAGTCTGATGGGCTTCCCTTTGTGGGTAACCCAACCTTTCTTTCTGGTTGTCCTTAACATTTTTTCCTTCATTTCAACGTCGGTGAATCTGATGATTATGTGTCTTGGGGTTGCTCTTCTCAGGAGTATCTTTGTGATGTTCTCTGTACTTTCTGAATTACAATGTTGGCCTGTCTTGCCAGGTTGGGGAAATTCTCCTGGATAATATCCTGAAGTGTGTTTTCCAACTTGATTCCATTCTCCCCGTCACTTTCAGGTACACCAATCAAATGTAGGTTTGATCTTTGTTCACATAGTCCCATATTTCTTGGAGGCTTTGTTTGTTCCTTTTCATTTTTTTTTCTCTAACATTGTCTTCATGCTTTATTTCATTAAGTTGATCTTCTATGTCTGACATCCTTTCTTCTGCCCGATCAATTTGGCTATTGATACTTGTGTATGCTTCACGAAGTTTTCGTGCTATGTTTTTCAGCTCCATCAGGTCATTTATGTTTTTCTCTAATCTAGTTATTCTAGTTAGCAATTCCTGTAACCTTTTTTCAAGGTTCTTAGCTTCCTTGCATTGGCTTGGAACATGCTCCTTTAGATCGGAAGAGTTTATTACCCACCTTCTGAAGCCCACCTCTGTCAATTTGACATACTCATTTTCCGTCCAGTTTTGTTCCCTTGCTGGCGAGGAGTTGTGATCTTTTGGAGGAGAAGAGGCATTCTGGTATTTGGAATTTTCAGCCTTTTTGAGCTGCTTTTTCTTCATCTTTGTGGATTTATCTACCTTTGGTCTTTGCTCTTGGTGACCTTTGTATGGAGTTTTTGCGTGGTTGTCCTTTTTGTTGATGTTGACGCTATTGCTTTCTGTTTGTTAGTTTTCCTTCTAACAACCAGGCCCGTATTCTGCAGGTCTGCTGGAGTTTGCTGGGGATCCACTCCAGATTCTGTTTGCATGTGTATTACCAGTGGAGACTGCAGAACAGCAAAGATTGCTGCCTACTCCTTCCTCTGGAAGCTTTGTCCCAGCAGGGCACCTGCCAGATGCCAGCTGGAGCTCTCTTGTATGAGGTGTCTGTCGATCCCTGTTGGGAGGTGTTTCCTTGTCAGGAGGCATGAGGGTCAGCGACCCACTTGAGGAGGCCATCTTTCCCTTAGCAGTGCTTGAGCACTGTGCTGGGAGATCTGCTGCTCTCTTCAGAGCCAACAGGTAGGCAGGAATGTTTAAGTCCGTTGAAGCTGCACCCACAGCCTTTCCTTCTGTAAGCCCCTGACTGGGGCTGCTGCCTTTCTTTCAGAGATGCCCTGCACAGAGAGGAGAAATATAGAGAGGCAGTCTGGCCACAGTGGCTTTGTGGTGTTGGAGTGGGCTCAGTCCAGCCCAAATTCCCCTGCGGCTTTGTTTACACTGTGAGGGGAAAACTGCCTACTCAAGCCTCAGTAATGGCAGATGCCCCTTCCCCCACCAAGCTCGAATGTCCCAGGTCGACTTCAGACTGCTGTGCTGGCAGCAAGAATTTCAAGCCAGAGGATCTTAGCTTGCTGGGCTCCATGGTGGTGGGACCCACTGAGCAAGACCACTTGGCTCCCTGGCTTCAGCCCCTTTTCCAGGGGAGTAAACAGTTCTTTCTCATTGGTGTTCCAGGCACCACTGAGGTATGAAAAAAACTCCTGCAGCTAGCTTGGTGTCTGCTCAAATGGCCACTCAGTTTTGTGCTTGAAACCCAGTTTTATGCTTGAAACCCAGGGCCCTTGTGGTGTAGGCACCCAAAGGAATCTCCTGGTCTGTGGGTTGCAAAGACCGTGGGAAAAGTGTAGTGTCTGGGCTGGATAGCACTGTCCCTCAAGGTATGGTCCTTCATGGCTTCCCTTGGCTAAGGGAGGGAGTTCCCCAATCCCTTGCACTTCCTGTGTGAGGTGATGCCCCACCCTGCTTCTGTTCACCCTCTGTGGGCTACACTCACTGTCTAACCAGTCCCAATGAGATGAACTGGGTACCTCAGTTGGAAATGCAGAAATCACCCGCCTTCTCTATTGGTCTTGCTGGGAGCTGCAGACTGGAGCTGTTCCTATTCAGCTTTGTTCTTTTTGCTTAGGATTGTCTTGGCTAAACAGGCTCTTTTTTGGTTCCATATGGAATTTAAAGTAGTTTTTTCTAGTTCTGCGAAGAAAGTCGGGGAGCTTGATGGAAATAGCATTGAATCTATAAATTACTTTGGGCAGTATTTCCATTTTTATGATATTGCTTCTTCCTATCCTTGAACATGGAATATTTTTCCATTTGTTTGTTTCCTCTCTTATTTCCTTGAGCAGTGGTTTTTAATTCTCCTTGAAGAGGTCCTTCACTTCCCTTGTAAGTTGCATTCCTAGGTATTTTATTCTCTTTGTAGCAATTGTAAATGGGAGTTCACTCATGATTTGGCTCTCTGCTTGTCTATTATTGGTGTACAGGAATGCTTGGGTTTTGGATACCTTAAGTGTAAGAGCACCATCAGGTGTATAAAGAAGAAGGGAAGGTAGTACACTGAGTTCAATTTATGAATGACCGTGGATCCTTGATTTCTTTTCTCTTTGTGCTTGGCAGGAAAACGAGAATGGCAGTGGTTCTGAAGAAGTGTGCTACACTGTCATTAATCACATCCCCCATCAGAGATCCTCCCTGAGCTCCAATGATGATGGCTATGAGAACATTGACTCCCTCACAAGGAAAGTGAGACAGTTTAGAGAAAGGTCAGAGACAGAATATGCCCTTCTTAGGACTTCTGTTAGTAGGCCTTGTTCCTGCACCCATGAGCATGATTATGAAGTTGTGTTTCCACACTAAAATCCTCAAGCTGCTTTATCACCTTCCAGCAATGAAGACAATGCAGAATAGCAGACTCTGGCGAAGTTGTTCACCCTGAGCAGTGCATGAAACATTCCTTTCTGGCTAAAGTTTAGAAATATTATCTTATTATATATCCTTAGGCAACTCTGATATGTGGCATCTCTGTGGCTTAGGTGAAATCATAGAAATTGACACAATGACCTAAAATATTCTATGTGTTTTTGCTTGTAAAGTTTGAGGACATGGAGGTGATAAAAAAAACTTTCTTAGGACAATAATGTAAAATGAAAATAAATTTCTAATCCCCCTGACTAACTGAATGGACCCTCTTCTAGGCCAAAGAGACCTCAGATGAACCTGAAAGACTGAATTCTGGCCATGATAGGAAGGGAGGTGAGACACACCTTGTTATACCCCTTCCCTTTTGGAGTTTATGCACAAGTGACCAGGATGAGTCATAAGACTGATGAAATAGACTGATTGTGGCAATAAGAGTCCCAATTCCAACCTGACTCTGGTGTAGATCACACACTGTCTGAGGGATTCCATCTATGAGACTTTGTCTACATAACAGAGACCTTGGTTTCCACAACCCCTTTATTTTAGCTAAAGCATTCTTTTCTACTGACTTCTTAAGTCTTTAGACAAAGCTTAACTCTTTCAACCAATTGCCAATCAGACAAACTTTGAATCTACCTATGACCTGTAAGCTCTCTCCTGCTTCAAGATCTTGCCTCTTTAAGCTGAACCGATGTGCACTTTCCATTTAATGATTTATGTCTTTGCTTGTAACTCCTGTCTCCCTAAAATGTATAAAAGTAAACGGTGACCTGACCACCTCAGGCACACTTTCTCAGGACCTCCTGAGAGTGTATCCCAGGCCATGGTAAGTCATGTTGGCTCAGAATCAACCTCTTTAAATATTTTACAGAATTTGGGTTTTGGTTACCAATAAGTCTCCACAAATATATGTCCAAGAATCTTCAATTCCAAGCCTGCTCACCAAATTTCAAATGCCAACATCTCCCCATCCAATTACCTATTTCATCTTTGAGGTGTAATCTACTCAATAAACTGTGTAAGACCAGTGACCAGACCCTTTGCTAACCTGACATTTACTTCAATTTTTCTTTTTCTATGTACTGGATATTTTTGCATATAAACTTGCAGTAATAGTTCAAAAATTAATAGTTTTTGACATTGGCTTTTCTGAGAAGAGAAATTGAAAGTGTCACAAAATAAAAAAAGATGAAATGAAGCATATATAATTGTCAATTTTTTCAATTTTCTAGCCAACAGAGAATCGAAGGATTCTGTTCAAATATTAGTAAAAATTGAAAATAAACTTGTGCTTATATTTTGTTTGCAACACACTAGTTAATTTAACCTGTGACTAGTTATCTCTACCGAAGGTGGATGTGTAGTTTCTGGTTTTAAAATTCAAGCAAACTGGAAAATAATCCATCTAATTATGCTTTCTTTCCCAAGAAGTTTTTTAATGATATGCCAGCTTCCTAATTTGGAGACAAAAGCCTTAATTGACAATGCATTCATTATATATTTTTTTGTATAGTTACAGTATACGAGTTGAGTATCCCTTAGATGAGATGCTTGGGACCAGAAGTGTTTTGGATTTCAGATTTATTTTTGGATTTTGGAATATTTCCATACATATAATGAGAGAGTTGGAAAATGGGATTCAAGTCTAATCATAAAATTCACTTATGTTTGATATACACCTTATCTGAATAGCCTGAAGGTAATTTTATACAATATTTTAAATAATTTTATGCCTGAAACAGAGTTTGCGCACATTGGACCATCAGAAAGCAGAAGTGTCACTATTTCAAGTCAGTGCTCAAAAAGTTTCAGATGTTAAGCTGGTGATGCAGTTCATGCCAGTGATCCGAGTACTTTGGGAAGCCAAGACAGGTGGATCTCTTGAGCCCAGGAGTTTGAGGCCAGACTGCACAACACAGTGAGACCTCGTTTCTACAAATAATTAAAAAATTAGCCAGGTGTGGTGGTGCACACCTGTAGTCCCAGGTACTCAGGAGGCTGAGGTAGTAGGATTGTTTGAGACTGGGAGGTTGAGGCTGAACTGAGCCAGGATCTTGCCACCACATTCCAGCTTGGGCAACAGAGTGAGACCCTGTCTCAAAAAAAAAAAAAGTTTCAGATTTTGGAGCATTTCAGATCTTCAGATTAGGGATTTTCAACCTGTACTGACCTTTTAGTCATTGACAAGCATTAATCAATAGGTGGACTCCAGATAACTCATTTGCTGTATACACATTTTGCCTCTCTATTCAACGAATTCTTATGCCCTCTTGTGGTGATTTTAATGTGCGGAAGGGAAACAATAGAAATTTTGCAATTCTAGAAAAGTCATTCTGTCAAAATATGTCAGTCCTGTAGATATTAGCCAATTTTAGGAAAATGACAAAATTTTTTACTTTTCGTCTGCCTTTGTAGCTGTTTTATGATATAAATACCTTATTTGTAATAAAATTAATTTTAATTTGAGTAACAATCTGGAATTATCAGAGAAGGGGCAAGCAATAGGTTAATAAACAGTATTGATTGGTAGAAGGAACGTTGAAATCCAAGAGCATCAATGTCTTCTGGTGGTTCACCATAAGCCACAGCAGATGTCTTAATCTTTCCGAGATCTAGTTTTTCAGCAAAGCAGGATTTAAGAAATGTAACTATCTTATGTGGTTATGAAGAACAATAGAATCATTGCTGTATAAGTGCTTTTTAACCTGTAAATTTTGTGAAGCTTATCTTTTATGCATATAAATATTTGAACATTTTACATTGTTTATATTTTTAATCAGTTTTACTCAAGTGTGATTATATACAAGAAAATGTAACCACTGTAAGGGTAGAGTTATAAGAATTTTGTCAAATGTATTCACCCATGTAGTCACCTCCTTATGAAGAGACAGAACACGTACATCCTCCCAGAAAGTTCCACAGTGCTCCTTTTCCCTGAGTTTCACCAGTCCTGGCAACCAATGATCTGCTTCGTATAATTATAACTGTTCTAGATATTTGTAGCAATGTACCCTTTCCATATTTATTTTGTGTGTGTAAGGCTTCTTTTAGTCATTATAATATTTTTGAGATTCATCTATGTTTAATGTTCTATCAGTAGTTGTACATCTTACTTGTCTCAGCATATCACCATATAGATATACTATAATTTGTTAATCTAATCACTGATGGATATGTAGGATATTTAAGTTTTTGACATTATGAATAAAGTGGCTATAAATGAATAAAGCGACTACAAATTTGAATATCTAGGTGTGTTAGTTTACTGGTGCTACCATAACAAAGGACCACAGAGTGAGTGGCTTAAATAATAAACATTTATTTTCTCACAATTCTGAAGGTTAGAAGTCCAAGGTCAAGGTGTTGGCAGAGCGGGTCTTTTAAGGGAAAAAGCCTAAAAACTTTGAGTTGGTTTCTCTATGGGAAAATCTTTTCAATGCATCTCTCCTAGCTTCTGGGGGTATGCTGACAATCTCTGGCATTTCCACATTTATTGATAAAATGGATACATGCCAAGGGATGAGAAATACATGTGACAATAATCAGGGGTCTTCTACCTCAGTGGAATTTCTAGGGTCAAGTGGTGTAAAGCATGTTGAGATTTCCTTCTGTGATGAAGAATAAATTGTTGTACCTCGTTTCCTTTATGCCCAGAAAAGCAGCATAATGTCTAGTGGCCCCTTTGGATCTTGGCAGCAGCGTATTCTTCATTTGGGTGTGTTACTCTAGCTCATTGACTAAGAAACTTGCTAGCTTTGAGTGGGGACTCAGAATAAGAGCAGGCTCTGCAACAGGTCCAGGCTGCTGTGCAAGCTGTTTTGCTACTTGGGCCGTAGGATCCAGCAGCTCTAATGGTTCTTGAGGTGTCAGTGGCAGACAGGGATTCTGTTTAGGGCCAGGCCCTTTGCCAGGGCCCTCTAGGTGAATCACAGCGAAGACTCTTAGAATTTTGGAGCAAAGCCCTGCCATTTCTTCAGACACCTAAGCTTCTTTTGAAAACTGCATTGGGCTTGCTCCTGGGCCTTATTAAAGATTGAATGCTTAACCATGGGCCACCAAGTTACCATGTGACCTGAGCTGCCCCTCATAAAGGGGATGTAGTCTGACCTGTTAAGCTATAAAACGGGGTATGTGCAGAGCACTTCATTGTAAAATTGAAAGCATACATATGAGATCAGGCTCAAGCAGGTCCTGAAAACACTAGTAAATTACATAAAGAAGTGACCCAAATGTCCGTGGTCCCCACTCATGCTACACTACCTTACACTGATGGCCTCATGGTGAGTTTCCTATGGTCAATCAACAGGCCCTACAGAAACCTTGGGCCTGGTTCATAGACGGTTTTGCACAATATTCGGGCACTGCCAAAAAATGAACAGCTGCAGCACCACGGCCCTTTCTGGGACATCCATGAATAATAGTGGTGAAGAGAAATCCTCCCTCAGAGTGGAACTTCAAATAGTACATCTGGTTCCTTGCTTTGCCTGGAAACAGAAATGGCCAAATGTGTGATTTTTTTTTATCAATTCATGGGCTGTGGCCAGTGGTTTGGTGGATGGTGAGAGACTTGGAATGAATATGGTTGGACAATTGGTGACAAGGAGGTCTGGGGAAGAATTATGTGGATGGACCTCTCTTAGGCTAAAAACCTGAAGATATTGTGTTATGTGAGTGCTCACCAAAGAGTGACGTCAGCAGAGAAACTAATAGTCAACAGTGTGTGGATATCAGTCAGCCTCTTTCCCCAGCCACCCCGTCATCACACAGTGGGCTCCTGAACAGGTATGGTGGCAGGGATGGAGATTATGCATAATTTCCATTCTTCAAGGCTGACCTGACTACGGTCACTGCTGATTGCCCAATCTGCCAGCAGCAGAGACAAACATTGAGCCCCTGATATGGCAGCATTCCCCAGGGCGATCAGACAGCTACCAGGTGGCAGGTGGATTACACTGGAACACTTCTGTCACGGAAGGTAGTTCTTACTGAAATAGACACTCTGGATGTGAATTTGCCTTCTCTGCACATTACGGTTCTGCAAAAGTACCGTCTGTGGACTCACAGAGTGCCTTATCCACCACGATGTTATTTTACACAGCTTTGCTTCTGGTTAAGGAACTCACTTCACAGAAAACAGAGTGTGCCAATGAGTTCATGCTCATGAATTATGAATTCACTGGCCTTACCATGTTCCCCATGATCCTGAAGCAGCTGGCTTGTAAGAATAGTGGAATAGCCTTTGGAAGACTCAGTAGCAGTATCAGTTTGGTGGTAAAACCTTGAAGGATTGAGACAGGTTCTCTATAATGCTATATAGGCTTTGAATCAATGTCCAATATATGGTGTTTCCAACATAGTGAGGATTCATGGGTCCAGGAACCAAAGGATGGAAATGGGATTTGCATCATTCATTATTACTCTTAGTGATCCACTGACAAACAATTTTTGTCCTCACGATCTTAAGCTCTGCTTGCCTAGAGGTCTTGGTTCCAGAGGGAAGAATGCTTAGGTCAGGAGACAAAACAACGTTTCTGTTAAACTGGAAATTGAGACGGCCACCTGGCCACTTTGAGCTCTTTGTTCCTCTGGATCAAAAGGTAAAAAGGGAAATTACTATAGTGGTTGGGGTAATTGATACTGACCAAAAAGGACAAATTGGACTGCTACTCCAATACTCCACACAGTACTGTCATGCTCTGTGATTAAAGTCAGGGGACAACTACAACAACCCAATTCAGACAGGACTATTAATGGCCCAGACCCTTCAGGAATAAAGGTCTGGGTTGACCCACCAGGTAAAGAACTACAACCAAGATGCTTGCAAAGGCAAAGGAACATAGAATATAAAAGAAGGCAGCTACAACCATGCGACTAGTTACAGAAATGAGGACTGTATTGTTATATTTCTTCTTTGTTTTGTTGTGAATATGTTTGTATAAATGCATGTATGTATAGACATATATAAACATTTATATGTATGTTACATAATTATTTTATGTATTACATATACATATATGCATATATATACACACAGTAAGCAAATATCTTTGATTTCTTTCCTCTTTTATCCTCTTATGATGTAAGATAAGATGTATTACTTTTACATCACAGTATGTAAGTTATAGGATATCAAAGAGAAAATAGCACTTGTCAGTTTCCTTATTTGAAGATTCAGTATGGTTTGAGGAGTTGTGTATGAGTGTCAAGGATGAACTATAAGAGTTAATTTTATGTGTCAACTTTTCTAGGCTATAGTACCCAGCTAGGTCAAACATGAGTCTAGATGTTGCTGTGAAAGTATATTTTAGATGTGATTAGCATTTAAATCTGTAGACCTTGAGTAAAGCAGATTAATCTCCTTCATAAAATATGTGGGCCTCATCCAAACTGTTGAAGACATTAAACAAAGCAATTATCAGCCAAGAATTTTGTATCCAGTGAAACTAAGCATCATAAATGAAGGAAAGATGCAATTTTTTTCCAGACAAACAGATGCTGAGAGAATTTGCACTACAAGAACTGCTAAAAGGAAATCTAAATCTTGACACAAATCCTCAAAATATACCAAAATAGAACCTCCTTAAAACATAAATGTCACAGGATCTATAAAACTACAACACAATGGAAGAAAAAGGTATTCAGGCAACAGATAGCACAACACATAGAATAGTACCTCATATCTCAATACTAACATTGAATGTAAATGGCCTAAATGCTCCACTTAAAAGATACAGAATGGTAGAATGGATAAGAATTCACCAACCAAGTTTCTGCTGTCTTCAGGAGACTCATCTAACACATAAAAACCCACATAAACTTAAGGTAAAGGAGTGGAAAAAGATATTTCACACAAATGTATACCAAAAGCAAGCAGGAGTAGCTATTCTTATATCATACAAATTTTAAAGCAACATAATGAAACCCTGTCTCTACCAAAAATAAAAAAAAAATTAGCTGGGTGTGGTGGTGGGCACCTGTAATCCCAGCTACTTGGGAGGCTGAGGCAGAAGAATAACTTGAACCCAGGAGGCGGAGGTTGCAGTGAGCCAAGATTGTGCCATTACCCTCCAGCCTTGGCAACAGAGTGAGACTCTGTCAAAAAAAAAAAAAAAAAAAAAAAAGAAAAGGCAAAGAAGGACATTATATAATGATAAAAGGACTTGTCCAACAGGAAAATTTCACAATTCTAAATATATATGGCCCTAACAGTGGAACTCCCAAATTTATAAAACAATTACTAGACCTAAGAAATGAGATACATGGCAACACAATAATAGTGAGGGACCTTAATACTCCACTGACAGCACTAGACAGATCATCAGGATAGAAAGTCAACAAAGAAGCAATGGACTTAAACTATACCCTACAACAAATGGAGTTAACAGATATTTGCAGAACATTCTACCCAACAACTGTAGAATATGCATTCTATTCATCAGCACATGGAACATTCTCCAAGACATACAGTGTGATAGGCCACGAAACAAGCCTCAGCAAATTTAAGAAATTCAAAATTATGTCAAGTATTCTCTTAGACCACAGTGGAATAAAGCTGGAATTTAACTGTGGGGAAAAGAGAGATCAGATTGTTACTGTGTCTATGTAGAAAAGCAAGACATAAGAAACTCCATTTTGATCTGTACTAAGAAAAATTGTTCTGCTTTGAGATGCTGTTAATCTGTAACTTTAGCCCCAACCCTGTGCTCACAGAAACATATGCTGTTTTGAATCAAGGTTTAATGGATTTAGGGCTGTGCGGGATGTGCCTTGTTAACAATATGTTTGCAGGCAGTATGCCTGGTAAAAGTCATCGCCATTCTCCGTTCTTGATTAACCAGGGACACAATGCACTGTGGAAAGCCACAGGGACCTCTGCCCAAAAAAGCCTGGGTATTGTCCAAGATTTCCCCCCAGTGAGACAGCGTGAGATATGGCCTTTTAGGAAAGGAAAGACCTTACAGCCCCCAGACCCACACCTGTGAAGGGTCTGTGCTGAGGAGGAGTAGTGAAAGAGGGAGGCCTCTGTGTGGTTGAGACAAGAGGAAGGTTTCTATCTCCTGCTCATCCCTGGGAATGGAATGTCTTGGTGTAAAGCCGACCATTTGTTCTATTCTGAGATAGGAGAAACTGCCCTGTGGCTGGAGGCGAGATATGCTGGCAGCAATACTGCTCTGTTACTCTTTGCTACACTGAAATATTTATGTAAAGTGAAACATAAATCTAGCCTACGTGCACATCCAGACACAGTACCTTTCCTTGAACTTATTCATGTTACAGATTGCTTTGTTCACATGTTTCCCTGCTGAACTTCTCCCCACCATCACCCTGTTGCCCTGCCACACTCCGTTCACCAAGATAGTAAAAATAGTGATCAATAAATACTGAGGGAACTGAGAGACCAGTGCCGGTGCAGGTCCTCGTACATTGAGTGCCGGTCCCCTGGGCTCACTGTTCTTTCTCTATATTTTGTCTCTGTGTCTTATCTCTTTTCTCAGTCTCTTGTCTCCACCTGATGAGAAATACCCACAGATGTGGAGGGGCAGACCTCCTTCATTAACTCCAAAAGGAGCTCTCAAAACCATGCAAATATATAAAAATTAAATAACCTGCTCCTGAATGATCATTGGGTCAACAACACCGTCAAGACGGAAATTTAAAAAATTCTTTGAACTGAATGATAATAGTGACACAACCTATCAAAACCTCTGGGACAGAGCAAAAGTGGTTCTAAGAGGAAAGTTCAGAGCATTAAATGCCTACATCAAAAAGTCTGAGAGAGCACATATAGATAATCTAAGTCACACCTCACAGAACTGGAGAAACAAAAACAATCCAAACTCAAACTCAGCAGAATAAAAGAAAATAGAAGATGAGAGCAGAACTAAATAAAATTGAAACAAAAAAAGAAAAATACAAAAGATAAATGAGACAAAAATCTGGTTCTTTGAAAAGATAAATAAAATCGATAGACCATTAGTAAGATTAACCAAGAAAAGAAGAGAAAAGATCCAATTTAGTTCAATTAGAAATGAAATGGGAGATACTACAACTGATACCACAGAAATACAAAAGACTTTTCAAGGCTACTATGAGCATCTTTACTCATATAAACTAGAAAACCTAGAGGAGATGGGTAAATTCCTGGAAATATACAACCTCCCAGATTAAACCAGGAAGAAATAGAATCTTGGAACAGACCAGTAACAAGCAGCAAGATTGAAATGGTAATTTAAAAATTGTCGAAAAAAAAAGTCCAAGACCAGACGAATTCACAGCTGAATTCTATCACACATTCAAAGAATTGGTACCAATCCTATTGACACTATTCCACAAGATAGAGAAAGAGGGAATCCTCCCTAAATCATTCTATGAAGCCAGTATCACCCTAATAGTAAAACCAGGCAAGGACATAACAAAAAAAGAAAACTACAGACCAATATTCCTGATGAACATAGATGCAAAAATCCTGAAAAAAAAAAAAACTAACAAACCAAATTCAACAACATGTCAAAAAGATAATCCACCACGATCAAGTGGGTTTCATACCAGGGAAGCAGGAATGGTTTAACATATGTAAGTCAGTAAATGTGATATGCCACATAAACAGAATTAAAAACAAAAATCACACGATTATCTCGATAGACACAGAAAAAGCATTTGACAAAATCCAGCATCCTTTTATGATTAAAACCCCCAGCAAAATTGGCCTAGAAGGGACATAGCTTAGTTGTCTAAAAATTGCTTGCCTTTTCATATTTTTGACCTATTTGTATTTCTTCCTTTTCTTTTTTTCTATATCTGTCACATATATATTTACAATACAGGTTTTTATTTGTCTCTTACTGATATTTTAAAATGCCATGGTTATTAAATCTTTGCTTTTTGTCTTATAAATATTTCCCACATTTTAAAATTTGTGTTTAATATTTGAAATACAGTTGAAAATTTGCTTTCGTAGGGGAGGAGAAGTTATTTTTATCTACCTTTCTTAGGTTTACTGGTGGGGCTGACTCCGGTAACAAAAGAAAAATTCACAAGAGAAACATGAACAAGTTTATTAAAATGTATACTGCAGTATACACGAGAGATGCTCAGTATACACGAGAGATGTATACACGAGAGATGTATACACGAGAGATGCTCAGGGAATGAGTAATTCCCAAAGAGGTAACCTAGGCCTCCAGCTTATGGAGCAGCTTCAAAGAAGAATGGTAAATTTTTAGAGGATAACAAGACAAAGGAAAAGGACAAGACAAAGGAAAAGGACAAGACAAAGGAAAAGGACAAGACAAAGGAAAAGTTTCTGGGGACAGCAAATTGTGGGAAGGCTAATAAATGGCAGATAAAAGCTAGTTGGGAGGGGTTGTTTCATAGATTCCTCTGATGCCATCTCCTGGCTGTTAATTTTTGTCTTTCTTGGTGTGGGGAGGAGGACACAATTGTCTTTTGTACATCTATCTCCTGCTTTTAGGCAAATTGAGGAAAGGCAGGTAACGTTTTCTTTATCTGCCTCCTCCCAGTTGCACTCAGTTCAAAACAATTTTTATGTTAAAGAGATATATTTTTGTAAGCAATGAGAAAAGGACTCCCTATTTTATAAATGGTGCTGGGATAGCTGACTAGCCATGTGTAGAAGAATAAAACTGGACTCCTACATTTCACCATACACAAGAAATTAACTCAAGATGAATTATTTACATGGAAGATGCCAAACTGTAAGAATCCTACAAGAAAACCTAGGGAATATTATTCTGGACATCAGCCTTGGGAAGGAATTGATGACTCAGTCCTCCAAAGCAATTGCAACAAAACCAAAAATTACCTAATTAAATTAAAGAGCTTCTGTAAAGCAAAAGGAACAATCAACAGAGAAAACAGACAACCTACAAAATGGGAGAAAATGTTCACAAACTATGCATCTGACAAAGGTCTAATATACAGAATCCATAAGAAATTTAACTCAAAAAGCAAAAAACAAATAACCCCATATAAAAATGGGCAAACGACATGAGCAGACACTTCTCAAAAGAAAACACACAAGTAGCCAACGAATGTGAAAAAATGCTCATCATCACTAATCATCAGAGAAATGCAAATCAAAATCACAGTGAAATACCAGAATGGCTATTATTAAAAAGTAAAAAAAAAAACAAAAAAACCAGATGCTGGCAAGGCTGTGGAGAAAACAGAATGCTGTTGGTGGGAATGTCAATTGGTTCTGCCACTGTGAAAAGCAGGTTAGAGATTTCTCAAAGAACTTAAACAGAGCTACCATTTGACCCAGCAATCCCATTGCTGGGTATATATCCAGAGGAAAAGAAATCATTCTACCAAAAAGATACATGCACTCATATATTCATTGCAGCACTATTCACCATAGCAAAGAAATGGAATGGTAGACTGAATAAAGAAACTGTGGTTCCTATATGCCATGGAATACTATGCAGCCATAAAAAATAATGAAGTCGTGTTCCTTTGCAGCAAGATGGATGCAACTGGGGGCCTTTAATTAATGCAGGCACAGAAAACTAAACACTGCATGTTCTTACTTATAAGTGGGAGCTAAACAATATGTACACATGAACATAAAGATGGGAACAACAGATGCAGGGACTGCTAGAGGGCAGAGAAAGGGAGAAGGGAAAGGACTGAAAAAGTAACTGCTGGGTACTATGCTGTGTCTGGGTGACAGGATCAATCATACACCAAACCTCAGCATCATGCAATATACCCAGGTAAGAAACCTGCACATGTACACCCTGAAACTAAAATTAATGTTTAAACTATTTTTAAAAAGAGACTTCTTTTTGGATGGCATATTTTGGTTTTTTCCACTTTCAGTTTCTTTTTAAAAAACATGTTTTAATTTTTATGCAATTGGTCCTAACAGTTTTTGATTTACACAATTTGTTGCCTGCTTGGGACATAACATTTTAGTACATCCATATGTTCATTGTAGATTCAATCTTTAATCAATAAAATTGTCCTGTTTTGTCAGTTTTGTTGTTATCTCAAAATTAAATTATATTGAATTTTTCTAATTTAATTTTTAAAAATGTTTTCTTTTCTTTCTTTAATTGACTGTATTGTTTGTTTCAAACAGGCTGTATAAATTTGAGTTTAGTTTTTTTTTACCCTAGCCTATGACATGCCTTTTTCTATTAATTGGAGCACTCATCCCTTAAGTGATTGATGTATTTATTTCACTCATATTTATAATCATCTATGAGCAATCATTGTGTGCCTATACTGACATGATTTGTCTTAATTCTTTAACTTTATTTTCATTATTTTACTATTTATTCCTTTATTTGTTACTTGAATTTACTTTTTTTTAAGAGATAGGGTCTTACTCTGTTGCCCAGGCTGAAATGCAGTGGCATGATCATAGCTCACTGCAACCTCGAACTCCTGTGAAGCGACACTTCTGCCTCAGTCTCTTGAGTAGCTGGGACTACAGGTGCGTGGGACCATGACCAGCCAATTTTTAAATTTTTTTTGGAGAGTCAGTGTCTTGCTATGTTGCAAGGGCTGGTCTCAAACTCCTGGCCTCAAGCTGTCCTCCCACCTTGGCCTCCCAAGTCGCTGGGATTTCTTTTATTATTTAAGTGCCATTGTTGTTCTTTCTTCTTTGCCCTTTTCTTCATAAACTATTTTCTTTTAGCCTTTTAGGGATCCAGTATTTGAGAAGTAATTTAGGCTGCACATTAGTTCTTTTTTTTTTTTTATCACTGTTAGTAACTGATGGAGTGACATATTTAATACCCATTTTTAAAATTTTGATTCCTTTCCAATGTACACAAATAGGTCTTGTGATTATTAAAACCTTTTTCTTTTTTTAATTATTATTATACTTTAAGTTTTAGGGTACATGTGCACAATGTGCAGGTTCGTTACATTTGTATACATGTGTCATGTTGGTGTGCTGCACCCATTAACTCGTCACTTAGCGTTAGGTATATCTCCTAATGCTATCCCTCCCCCGTCCCCCCACCCCACAACAGTCCCCGGTGTGTGATGTTCCCCTTCCTGTGTCCATGTGTTCTCATTGTTCAATTCCCACCTATGAGTGGGAATATGCGGTGTTTGGTTTTTTGTCCTTGAGATAGTTTGCTGAGAATGATGATTTCCAGCTTCATCCACGTCCCTACAAAGGACATGAACTCATCCTTTTTTATGGCTGCATAGTATTCCATGGTGTCTATGTGCCACATTTTCTTAATCCAGTCTAACATTGTTGGACATTTGGGTTGGTTCCAAGTCTTTGCTATTGTGAATAGTGCCCCAATAAACATACGTGTGCATGTGTCTTTATAGCAGCATGATTTATAATCCTTTGGGTATATACCCTGTAATGGGATGGCTGGGTCAGATGGTATTTCTAGTTCTAGATCCCTGAGGAATCGCCACACCAACTTCCACAATGGTTGAACTAGTTTACAGTCCCACCAACAGTGTAAAAGTGTTCCTATTTCTCCACATCCTTTCCAGCACCTGTTGTTTCCTGACTTTCAATGATCGCCATTCTAACTGGTGTGAGATGGTATCTCGAGACTCCCTTTTTCTGTAACTTGAAATACATTAATATAAAAGGGGAAATTTATTTTAAAGGAAGGGTCAAATTTATTTCCTGCAAAAGATGATGATGTTTCCTAATGTCTGCTCTTGCTCTTCTCTGCTTCGGAAAGCATTGAAGAACAGCTAAGATATTTGAAGGATGTGTATTGCATTTATTTATAATGCACATATTCGGAAAATAAATAGATCTAAGTCACTGGATGTAAAGACATAGCTTCTAAGCATTTAACATACAATACTTTTTTGGGTAGGCAGGTGACATTGTCACTCATTTAACCCTATGTGATGTGTTATCTTTCTCAGCTATGCCTCAGCCTTGGGGAACACACTTTACATATGGGGATGGTGAGACATACCAATGAGAGCAACCTAGCAGGTTTCATCCTTTTAGGGTTTTCTGATTATCCTCAGTTACAGAAGGTTCTATTTGTGCTCATATTGATTCTGTATTTACTAACTATTTTGGGGAATACCACCATCATTCTGGTTTCTCGTCTGGAACCCAAGCTTCATATGCCGATGTATTTCTTCCTTTCTCATCTCTCCTTCCTGTACCGCTGCTTCACCAGCAGTGTTATTCCCCAGCTCCTGGTAAACCTGTGGGAACCCATGAAAACTATCGCCTATGGTGGCTGTTTGGTTCACCTTTACAACTCCCATGCCCTGGGATCCACTGAGTGCGTCCTCCCGGCTGTGATGTCCTGTGACCGCTATGTGGCTGTCTGCCGTCCTCTCCATTACACTGTCTTAATGCATATCCATCTCTGCATGGCCTTGGCATCTATGGCATGGCTCAGTGGAATAGCCACCACCCTGGTACAGTCCACCCTCACCCTGCAGCTGCCCTTCTGTGGGCATCGCCAAGTGGATCATTTCATCTGCGAGGTCCCTGTGCTCATCAAGCTGGCTTGTGTGGGCACCACGTTTAACGAGGCTGAGCTTTTTGTGGCTAGTATCCTTTTCCTTATAGTGCCTGTCTCATTCATCCTGGTCTCCTCTGGCTACATTGCCCACGCAGTGTTGAGGATTAAGTCAGCTACCAGGAGACAGAAAGCATTCGGGACCTGCTTCTCCCACCTGACAGTGGTCACCATCTTTTATGGAACCATCATCTTCATGTATCTGCAGCCAGCCAAGAGTAGATCCAGGGACCAGGGCAAGTTTGTTTCTCTCTTCTACACTGTGGTAACCCGCATGCTTAACCCTCTTATTTATACCTTGAGGATCAAGGAGGTGAAAGGGGCATTAAAGAAAGTTCTAGCAAAGGCTCTGGGAGTAAATATTTTATGATTATTAAAAAAAAATTTAAGTGACACTGTGATGAATTTTTTTTTTGGTAAAAAGTAGCATCTTTTAATAAGAGGATTTTTTATGGGCTCTTCTCACATTTTCTTTTGATTAAATATTTGTACGACATTTTGCATTATGTAAAATACTATGGAATATATGTCTACATACATACATGAAACATATGTCTATAAAGTCGCAACTTGGCCATTACCCAGTAGCAGTATAAGGTGAGTCCTTTAGTCAATCTATGCTTCAGTGCCTTTGCTGCAGAATATATCATTTGTGTAGTACATTTGAAACTACTTTTAAATAAATACTTTACTGGATTAAGATAGGCATGAACATATTCAAGAAATGTTTATGTCAGCCAGCTTTTTTTTTTGGTTGCTAATAACGCATTAATCTCTGAGCCTTCCTGTAGATGGACACATAGCTTATTCCCTTCCAAGAATGTAGCTGAGATGCATGCGTGTTGATCAAGCTGTAATGAGGCAAATTTTTAAATTGCACCCTATATGCCATCCTCTTAACATGTGGAAGAGATGTGTAGACATGCAAATACAACACAAAGACAAAGGGCACACTTTAAAGGTGATGTGGAAAGTAGATGAAAGCCCAGTTCTCTGGTTGTGTAGTTGCATCAAGAAATAGTTTGAACTGCCTAACACTGGAGTCTCAGTCTACAGAAAAAACACAGCTGTAAAATTTTCTATGGCTCACATGGATACACAAATAATAACACATTGTTATTATATCTGCATTTCTGTATATGAAACATTTTCATAATTTTGAGATATATCTTCCAGATAAAACCTTAACCAAATTGTTTAAATTATTTGCACTAAAATACTGAACTTCATTTCCCATGGCTTCACTCTAAATGGCCCATACCATTCTTTTTCTGGAAATAAGGAATTTTTGCATTTTGAGTCTAGAAAACGTTGTGTGAACTCATGGTATTATACTTCCTATTTCACTGCATTATAGCAGGCATTGGGTTGTATACTCTGTAGTAGGAAACTATGTCCTCTGTTCAAACTTACATCAAAATAAATAAATGAATTCAGTGAGATGAGGAAGGATATTGTAGAAGGGTCTTTTAAGTCCAAATGTGGTGATCATTTTAAATATAGTATTAAACGTTAGAGAATGAGTTGTTGTTTATAACTCTTCAGAAGCAGAGGCATAATTAGTAAGATAATGCACTGTATGTCTTCTGTCCTTTGAGTGTCTATCCTTTCAGTGTCCCTCAGTTGTTTATTTACCAGTTTGTTACATTTTTGATGTGCAAGTACTGAATATCACATGCAGTGCTAGTTGCTAAGTATAGGGAGAAAACTAGAAATAAACGGTATATACCCACCCTGAACTCATTGCTGTTAGAAAAGATGAACCTAAAAAACAAAAATACAAAAATTAGCTGGGCATGGTGACACGTGCCTGTAATGCCAGCTATTCGGGAGGCTGAGGCAGGAGAATCGCTTGAACTCGGGAGGCGGAGTTTGCAGTGAGCTGAAATCGCGCCACTGCACTCCAGCCTGGCAACAGAGTAACACTCCGTCTCAAAAACAAAACAAACAAACAAACAAACCCCCCAAAACAAAACAAAACAAACTGCAAGGTAACCATGAAAATGAAACTGGAATAAGGTCTATGAAAAAAATAGTGTGTTATGCAATTGATTATCAAGGAGCTAACTGAAGGCTTCCTGGGAAAGTGGCATTTAATTTGCCACCTCAGTAAAGCTAAGAAGCAACCCTGGAGGACTAAAGGGGAGAGGATGGGTAAGGAAAGGAAAGAGTTTCCTGTAGAAGACTTTGCCTAAGGCAATGCTGTCAAGATATCAGCTGGAGCTTTATCTTGACCTTCCAAATCTGGTTAATATGGTTCTGTATCCAACCAATTATAGTGCCTGCTGTTTTCCAAACTCTCCCAAACTTCCCAAAATTTTCTGAGGGCTTTTATTTTTAGAGTAACTATGATCTTTTGCTCTTTATAAAACTCTCATGAGTTTAGAACACTTTAAATAAGATTATGTTTTAAGCAGAGATAACACAGATGTGACAGAGCATGCACTGAAAGCATTTGAATCTTCCTTATCGTTCTTTTTTCTTTATGCTGGCCCTTCAATCCCTTTCCAGGAACACCACATTCTTCTCCAATATTAGAAGCAACAATCTCTCTTCCTGCAATATTTTGACACCAACAAGTACCCTGACTTTGAAAAATCCAATTTGTAAGCTGACAAACTTCAAAAATATGCTTACAAACATAGGCAGATTTCTCTTGAGTACTACCAAATGGTACTATGGTACTATGGTACTTTGTCAAGTGACAAAGTTCCTCCTTATGTTGCCAAAATAAAAATAATGCTCTATCATTGTTTGCTGTGGATTTTTAGTAAATTATGCCTAATGCTTTTAAACTATATTGGATAAAATATTTGTAGAGTAAGTAGGATCTGTAGCTATAAAAATTTTATATTGGAACTTCACTTTCTAATCAATGATACTTTTTCAAAAGAAGACTTGCATAAAGTGGGATTTCTATTTATGTTTATTTTGTCACCTTTCATGGAGACATATACTTCATACATTAATAAGTTTGCTTATCAAATGTAAATTAAGCTTGCCCTGGGAACTGGGATCGGAATATTGGAATCGTAGATTATAGTGCAACAAGGATGCAATTAAACAGGCACTAACAATAAAATGAGTTAAGACTTGGGTTAGGAAAGGAACAGTGATGGTGAAGTACATGCAATATAAGAATATCCCCCATTTTTGGAGATGAAAATTTTTTTTTCTTTTTTTAAAAATTTTACTTTAAGTTCTGGGATAGGTGTACAGAACATGCAGGTTTGTTACATAGGTATACATGTGCCATGGTGGTTTGCTGCACGCATCAACCCGTCAGCTAGGTTTTAAGCTTCACATGCATTAGGTATTTGTCTTAATGCTCTCCCTCCCCTTTCCCCCAATCCCCTGACAGGCCCTGGTGTATGATGTTCCCCTCCTAGAGTCCATGTGTTCTCACTGTTCAACTCCCACTTAAGAGTGAGAACATGTGGTGTTCGGTTTTCTGTTCCTGTGTTAGTTTGCTGAGGATGATGGTTTCCAGCTTCATCCATGTCAAAGGACATGAACTCATCCTTTTTTATTGCTGCATAGTATTCCATGGTGTATATGTGCGACATTCTCTTTATCCAGTGTTTCATTGATGGGCATTTGGGTTGGTTCCAAGTCTTTGCTATTGTAAATAGTGCTGCAATAGACATATATGTGCATGTGTCTTTATAGTAGAATGATTTATAATCATTTGGGTATATATCCAGTAATGGGATTGCTGGGTCGAGTGGTATTTCTGGTTCTAGATCCTTGAGGAATTGCCACACTGTCTTCCACAATGGTTGAAGTAATTTACACTCCCACCAACAGTGCAAAAGCATTCCTATTTCTTCACATCCTCTCCAGCATCTGCTGTTTCCTTTTTTTTTTTTTATTTTTGAGACAGAGTCTTGCTGTGTCGCCCAGCATGTAGTGCAGTGGTGCGATCTTGGCTCACTGCAATCTCCACCTCCCGGGTTCACGCCATTCTCCTGCCTCAGCCTCCCAAGTAGCTGGGACTACAGGCACCTGCCACCACGCCTGGCTAATGTTTCGTATTTTTAGTAGAGATGGGGTTTCACCGTGTTAGCCAGGATGGTCTTGATCTCCCGACCTCATGATCTGCCTGACTTGGCCTCCCAAAGTGCTGGGATTACAGGCATGAGCTACCACACCTGGCCTGTTTCCTGACTTTTTAATGATTGTCATTCTAACTGGCATGAGATGGTGTCTCATCGTGGTTTTGATTTGCATTTCTCTAACGACCAGTGATGATGAACTTTTTTTCCTATGTTTGTTGGCTGCATAAATGTCTTCTTTTGATGGGGTTGTTTGTTTTTTTCTTGTAAATTTAAGTTCTTTGTAGATTCTGGGTATTAGACCTTTGTCAGATGGATAGATTGCAAAAATTTTCTCCCATTCTGTAGGTTGCCTGTTCACTCTGATGATAGTTTCCTTTGCTGTACAGAAGCTCTTTAGTTTAATTAGATTCCATTTGTCAATTTTGGCTTTTCTTGCAATTGCTTTTGGTGTTTTAGTTATGAAGTCTTTGCCCATGCCTATGTCCTGAATGGTATTGCCTAGGTTTTATTCTAGGGTTTTTATGGTTTTAGGTTTTAGGTTTAACTCTTTAATCCATCTTGAGTTAATCTTTGTATAAGATGTAAGGAAGGGGTCCAGTTTCTGTTTTCTGCATATGGTTAAGCCAATTTTCCCAGCACCATTTATTAAATAGGGAATCCTTTACTCATTGTTTGTTTTTGTCAGGTTTGTCGAAGATCAGATGGTTGTAGATGTGTGGTGTTAATTCTGAAGCCTCTGTTCTTTTTCACTGGTCTATATATCTGTTTTGGTACCAGTACCATGCTGTTTTGGTAACTGTAGCCTTGTAGTATAGTTGGAAGTCAAGTAGCATGATGCCTCCAGCTTTGTTCTTTTGGCTTAGGATTGTGTTGGCTATATGAACTCTTGTTTGGTTCCATATGAAATTTAACATAGTTTTTTTCTAATTCTGTAAAGAAGTCAATGGTAGCCTGATGGGAATAGCATTGAATTTATAAATTACTTTGGATAGTATGGCCGTTTTCACAATATTGATTGTTTCTGTACATGAGTATGAAATTTTTTTCCATTTCTTTGTGTCCTCTCTGATTTCCTTGAGCAGTGGTTTGTAGTTCTCCTTGAAGAAGTCCTTCATGTCCCTTGGAAATTGTATTCCTAGGTATTTCATTCTCTTTGTATCAATTTTGAATGGGAGTTCACTCATGATGTGGCTCTCTGCCTGTCTATTGTTGGTGTATAAGAATGCTTGTGATTTTTACACATTGATTTTGTATCCTGAGACTTTGCTGAAGTTGCTTATCAGCTTAAGGAGTTTTTGGGCTGAGATGATGGGGTTTTCTAAATATACAATCATGTCATCTGCAAATGTAGACAGTTTAACTTCCTCTCTTCGTATTTGAATATCCCTTATTTTCTTATCTTGCCTGATAACCCTGACCAGAACCTCCAATACCATGCTGAATAGGAGTGGTGAGGGGGGCATCCTTGTCTTGTGCCAGTTTTCTAGGTGAATGTTTCCAGCTTTTGCCCATTCAGTATGATATTGGCTATGGATTTGTCATAAATAGCTCTTATTAGTTTGAGATATGTTCCATCAATGCCGAGTTTATTGAGAGTTTTTAGCATGAAGTGGTGTTGAGTTTTATCAAAGTCCTTTTCTGCATCTACTGAGATAATCATGTGGTTTTTGTCATTGGTTCTGTTTATGTGATAAATTATGTTTATTGATTTGCATATGTTGAACCAGTCTTGGATCCCAGGGATGAAGCCGACTTGGTTGTGGTGGATAAGCTTTGTGATGTGCTGCTGTATTTGGTTTGCCAGCATTTTATTGGGGATTTTTGCATCAATGTTCATCAGGGATATTGGCCTGAAATTTTCTTTTTATGTTGTGTCTCTGTCAGATTTTAGTACCAGGATGATGCTGGCCTCATAAAATGAATTAGGGAGGAGTCTCTCTTTTTCTGTGGTTTGGAATAGTTTCAGCAGGAATGGTACTGGCTCCTCTTTGTACCTCTGGTAGAATTCAGCTGTGAATCTGTCTGGTCCTGGGCTTTTTATGGTTGGTAGGCTATTAATTACTATCTCAATTTCAGAACTCATTATTGGTCTATTCAGGAATTCGACTTCTCCCTGGTTTAGTCCTGGGAAGGTGTATGTGTCCAGGAATTTTTCCATTTTTAAAAAATTTTCTAGTTTATTTGCATAGAGGTGTTTATACTATTCTCTGGTGGTAGTTTGTATTTCTGTGGGATCAGTGGTGATATCACCTTTATCATTTTTTATTATGTCATATTACCTAACTTCAAACTATACTATAAGGCTACAGTAACCAAAATGGCATGGTACTGGTACATAAACAGACACATAGGCCAGTGGGACAGAATAGAGAACCTAGAAATAAATTCACGAACCTGCAACTATCTGATCTTCAACAAAATCAATAAAAATAAGCAGTGGGAAAAGGACTCCCTAGTCAATAAATGGTGCTGGTATAACTGGCTAACCACATGCAGAAGAAGGAAACTGTACCCCTACGTTTCACCACATACAAAAATTAAATCAAGATTAAAGACTTAAATGTAAGTTCAAACTATAGAAATCCTAGAAAAAACCCTAAAGAACACCATTCTGTACATCAGTCTTGGCAAAGAATTTATCACTAAGTTCCCAAGAGCAATTGCAACAAAACAAAACATTTACAAGCTGAACCTAACTATACTAAAGAGCTTCTGAACAGCAAAAAAAAAAAAAAAAAAAAAAAATTACCAACAGGGTGAACAGACAATCTACAGAGTGAGAGAAAATATTCACAAACTGTGCATTTGACAAAGGTCTTATATCCAGAATCTACAAGGAACTTAAATCAACAAGCAAACCACCCCCCCAAAAAAATCCAATTAGAAATGGGCAAAGGACATGAACAGACATGTCTCAAAAGAAGACATATGAGCAGCCAATAAACATGAAAATGTGGTCAACATTACTAATTATCAGAGAAATGTAAATCAAAACCACAGTGAGGTACCATCTTATACCAGTCAGAATACTGATTATTAAAAAGTCAAAAAACAGCAGATGCTGGTGAGGCTGTGGAGAAAAGGGAACGCTTATACACTGTTAGTGGGAATGCAAACTAGTTCAGCCACTTCGAAAGCAGTTTGGAGATTTCTCAAAGAACTTAAAATAGAGCCACTATTTGACCCAGCAATTCCACTCCTGGGTATATACCCAAAGGAAGATAATTCATTCTATCCAAAAGACACATGCACCTGTATGTTGCAACGCTATTTATACTAGCAAAGACATGGAATCAACCTAGGTGCTCAAGCAGAGGATTGGATAAAGAAAATGTGGTAGACATGTGATATACAATGAAATACTAGGTAGTTACAAAAAATAATAAAAATGTGTACTTTACAGCAACATAGTTGGAGCTAGAGGCCATTATCCTAAGTGAGCTAATGCAAGAACAGAAAACCAAAGATTGCATGTTCTCACTTATAAGTGGGAGCTAAACACTGAATACACATGAGGTAGGAATTGAACAATGAGAACACATGGACACAGGAAGGGGAACATCACACTCTGGGGACTGTTGTGGGGTGGGGGGAGGGGGGAGGGATAGCATTGGGAGATATACTTAATGCTAGATGACGAGTTAGAGGGTGCAGCGCACCAGCATGGCACATGTATACATATGTAACTAACCTGCACATTGTGCACATGTACCCTAAAACTTAAAGTGTAATAATAATAATAAATAAATAAATAAATAAAGTTAGGAACAATGGATACTGGGGACCAACAGATGTGGAGGGAGGAAGTGGGCTATTGGCTGAAGAACCACCTGTTGTATATCATGCTCACTTCCTGGGATGGAATCACTGGGACCCCAAGCCTTAGTGTCATGCATTTTACACGTCATGCCTTTTACCCATGTAACAAACCTGTACTTGTTCCCTTTAATGTATGATAAAAGTTGAAATGATTAGTTATTAGAATGGTGAGTTTTTTGTTGTGTATATTTTATCACTTTATATTTTATTTTACATATATGCTTATATACATATAATTTAATAAATATTTTACCACTACATATACTTTTTTTTTTTTGATATGGAGTCTCCCTCTGTCACCCAGGCTGGAGTGCAATGGCACAATCTTGGCTCACTGCAAGCTCCGCCTCCCGGGTTCACGCCATTCTGCTGCCTCAGCCTCCAGAGTAGCTGGAACTACAGGCGCCTGCCACCACGCCCCGCTAATTTTTTTGTATTTTTTAGTAAAGACAGGTTTCCATGTTAGCCAGGATGCTCTCAATCTCCTGACCTCATGATCCACCCACTTTGGCCTCCAAGAGTGTTGGGATTACAGGCGTGAGCCACCGCGTCCGGCCTACATATACGTTTTAAAAATTAAAAACAGGCTATGAATTCAGAGGGGAAAGAGTTCAGGAAGGAAGTCTAAAAAATACAGTGATTATACAAGAGGTTGAACATATGAAAAACTAACAATTTCAATATGTCAAATAACCTCCCAAGTGACTGTAGTACAAAGATCACCAGACTCAGAAGAATAGTTTTGAATTTCAGTCCTAACTCTTTTATACCTAGTAGATAAAGTTATTGACAGTTACATCAAAGATGGGCCTAAATTTCTAGCTTGCATAATTGGATAATAGTGACATTATTCACTTTTACAGCAAACAAAATGGAGAGAGCAAGGGTTTAGATTTGAACACAGTGCATTTGAGGTGTCTCACCTAGTGGAGATGGTAGTTTCAAAATAGGATACATGAATCTAGTCCTCAGTAGAGAAATCTACACATAATTAACATAGCAATAAGCATATAGTTTCCGATAAGAGAAAATTTAATTTGTTAGAAGATCAGTCCCGCTGGACTGGGACTGATGAATCCAACCATTAAGGGCTTAAGAGAGTAAGAAGAGATTGCAAAAGAGACAGTTATTCTAGGCATTTGTTATGATAGCTTTAATATAAAGTATCTCAGTTCTAAGAGAATGATGCTCAAGGTTAGAAATCCAAAGTACGGGCAAAGAGATTCTCTTTAAAGGGGATGACGAAGATCTTCTCTATGGTAACTAGAGTGAAGGAGGAGGGACACAGAAGACTTAAGTGGGTTTTCTTTTCGCTCTTTCACGTTGGACAAGTTTGATGGCTTCTATTTCCTATGTGAAGTACGAGGTGCCAGAATAATACTGAAGAAAGGAATACTTCACACTGGGGAAATATGTGTATTATTGTTCCTTGATGATCCAAAGAAGCTAGTCAGTTCCTCCACTAATTGCCTACTGGGGATGCAGGTTTTTCCCAGAAGACGTGGTAAAAACAAATCATGGCAATTTTGTAAATTTGCAAAATTCACTGTTTCTGCTTCCCTTTTTCTCCAAGTTTTCATTGCCACTAACATAATTTCCTCAGGATAAACTCAGGCGAGAAATATAAATCTTGAACAGATTGTTTTTTGAAGCCAGTTGTCTTGTGGGTCAACAGCAGGCTGGACACAAAATAACAAAGCTAAGAAAATGTTATATGACTTGCATCCTGAAGATGTGAAAAACACCGACACCTTTAAATATTCCTGAGTGTAAGTAAGAATTCAATCTGGTGTAATCTAAATTGAATGCAATCATTTCTTAAAGAAGTTCATAAAAGTTAATAGGTAGAAACTTTATTGCTTTCATTACTGTTGGATTTGCTGTATCGTTAAAGTAATAATGTTGCGTGACACAGGTAAACTATCTGGACTTCTGCTTTCATTTATCGAATATAAAGATAGGGCAATTTCTTGTTAGTCTTCGTAAGTACAAGTTAGTATCATGCAATTAATTAGTATAATTAGCATTTTGGGGATAAATTTTACTTATAGAAACAACTTAGTTGATAGATTTAGCACACACTCAATTCCACAAAAACACAACTATAACACAAGTGGAACACTCAATTCGAGGTAATTTCAGCCTTCTGTAAAAAAATCACTCAAGAGAAGTACTGCAGAGGAAGCTTCCTCAAGTAGTGCACCACTGCTAACCTTTGAAATTGTAAGCTCTTCGCCAGCTGAAACAGAGGGATAGTTGAATTACAATTTAACCAAAATGATTGAGGGTTTAAATTATTGGGTTGGATTTCATTGAGTAGAAATAAAATGTTTTCCAGAGGACCACTGTTTCTCGACTCTATTAACACTGCTGTAATTTCTGTGTTTCCTTCTCATGAAGTAATTGTATTTTAGTAAAATTTGATGGTTAGCAAGAATATGTATGGGTAGAGGACACTTACTTAAACAGACTGAGTGCTTTACTGATCAGGTGGGCAACTTCCAATCTGGTCTTAAAACACGTGAACAGACACTAGGAAATCTGTAGCCATTGGTCTCATATTTTCACCAACTGGTCAAGTAACTATGGAAGACCAGAGCATCTGGAAGATGGACTAGACCAGAAACGCATCGGTCTTAAGTTGGATTCTCCAGATTGAGAGAGGACACGATTATGATTTTTCAGTCGTCTGTCTTAAAGCTTTATTCAGGCAGATGGTTAGAATAATGAACAAGGGCTGAGTGGCATGGCAGCACACAGGTATTTAAGGGGTTGGCTTGTGGTTAAAAACCTGTTTTGGGGGGAATTGCAAGGACTTGGCATGCAATGGTGCTTGGTGAAAGCTGAGGTAAATCAGCACAGATGTGAGCTCATATCGCTGTTGAGGGTTCCATGAACAAAAGGCTCCTGCAGTTTTATGGATCCAGGGACCATGAGAAAGGGTAAGGGCTAGATGTGGAAAAGTACGGATAGGGGAAAGCTGCCTCCCCACCTCAGTGTTCGGCACAGCCAGCGCGTTGAAGACTCTGGAGGGAGTTGCAGTCAAGGGTTCGCTCTGACCTCTCTGGCTTGTCATGTTCTTTTGCATAATCACATTTATATCTTAAGCGTCTTTATTCCTTGCTCATCTTTATTCCTTGCACTTTGTCTGGTGCTGTAGGCAGAGCCTTCTTGTAAGGCAGGAGAAGGGGAGAAACTTAAAGACAACTTTCCTATCTTTGACTCAGTATTCAGTACTTTACCACATGTAGCCCTTTCCCTTTCTCACGCTCCCTGGTTTGGGGATCCATAAAATTGCAGGGGCCTTTCGTTCATGGAACCCTCGACAGTGACATGACCTTCGCATCTGTGCTGATTTACCTTCACCAAGCACCACTGCATGAGAGGTGAGGTAGCGGGATGGGAAGGGATTAGGAGGAGCTGATGCTTCTTCCAGTGTTATACACTGGAATGCATTATCATAGTCAGTGATTAGAGGCTTCACGGTAACTTTCATTTTGGTTCCTTGCTGCTTTAGGGTCCTCTGACACCTTATAGCTCAGCTCTCTCCCCAGGTCAGCTGATCCACCAATATTAACCACTTCTTTTCCCAGTATCTTCCGTCCAGGAAGATTCAACAGAGTCTGACTGGGAAATAGGACACATGAAAAATGCATTCATTTCTTCATCAAGCATTTATTGACACATTAGTATGCATTTGATATCATATAAATTCCATAAAGTATCAGTAGAACATGACCCCTCAGTTTAAGAAGTAGGTTATGGTTTAGTAGATACATACGGTCATAAAACATTAGGTCAGTATGGTATTGGAGTTTTTTATTGTAGAGGTAAGTTTAGGGTACGGAATGAACACAAAATAAGCCTCACCAAGGTTGGGTGGAGGGATGTATGAGAGAGGAGTGCTAATCAGAGTCAAAGAGGACTTTGTATGTTCGTGAGAAATACTGAGTCTTAAAAGTGTGTAGATAACTGCCTGGTGAAGGGGGTTGGAGAAGATTATCATTGTCATGGGAAGCAGCATAAGAAAAGCCATAGCTCCATTATGCTTAGCAAACTAACGCAGGAGCAGAAAACCAAATACCACATGTCATCACTTATAAGTGGGAGGTAAATGATGAGAACACATGGACACATAGAGGGGAACAACACACACTGGGGCCTCCCAGAGAGTGGAGGGTGAAAGGAGGGAAAGGAACAGGAAAAATATAACTAATTAGTACTAGGCTTGATACCTGGGTGACAAAATAATATTACAACAAAGCCCCATAACAAAAGTTCACCTATGTAACAAACCTGCACATGTATGCCTGAAATTAAAAGGTAAACACACACACACACACACACACACACACACACACACACACACACGGCATAGCTGAATGTAAGGGCTCAGCTTGCTTTCTGCCATCTTCTCTAAATGTGTTTGTGATCATTCTCTTCTCTATACTTGTACTAATATGTATATTTTTCTATTTATTATTTATTTTGCCATACTTAATGTAAAGATTCTCAATTATAGGGAGAATATAAATTAGAAATGTCTAAAATGGTAAAAAAAAAAAGTGTCTGAGTTTAGCACAAACTAACATTTCTACAGGCATTCTGCAAACATTCCATCTGGCTCTGGTGCGAGGAAAGAACCCACAGCTGGCTCTGAAGGGAATGTAAATATGCACATTAGACACAATCACCTTACTCAAATGTTATGCTAACATTTTACAACAAGCAGGAAGAATAACCTTGGCTGATGAGATTCTGAAACACATTTTGATTTGGGAGTCTTGGTAAGTTATACAACAATTAGTGAGAATAGGAATTGTCCTGTGATTTCACGTATCCCTACTTTCCTCATTCTGAAAGAAAAGCACGAAATCATCTTATATCCTCAGTTTACCTCCCTTTCCATTTAAAAGTCAGTATTAGGTTAATTTTGTCATTTTCATTCCATTAATTTTCTTCCCATTGACTTTCATTCAGTTAATGTTGTCATTTTGGTAATTCTCAGGCTATTCACATGACACGAACCTAGTTAATATCATGAGAACTATTGAACTATCCCTACCTGAACTCCCTCACATCAATATCTTCCCTACCCATCTTCCTATCAATGCACCAATATTTCCAAAATGGAAACAGAAAATATTACTCTCTTGTGTGCTCAGAGCCTTTAACAACATCTTACTGCCTGCACAGCAAAGCTAAGAACTTTATTTCACCCAGTGATTTCTACAGTTTGACTCCAAGTATTTTATTTTCTAAGCATACCTTCAGCACTCACCTTTTTGAATCTTTTTTAAAAAAAAACTATACTTAAATAAAACAGTATTTATCGTGTTGTACATGATAAATATATACAATTTTAATTTGTCAGTTAAAAATAAATGAATAAAGAAATAAAAACAAAGTAAGTAAAGAAATAAGAACAAAACAAACAAAAAACTGTTTTAAAATTTCAATAGCTTTGAGGGTACAAGTTTTGAGGATTATAAATCATGCTACTATAAAGACACATGCACACGTATGTTTATTGTGGCACTACTCACACTTGGAACCAACCCAAATGTCCATCAACAATAGACTGGATAAAAAAATTGTGGCACATATACACCATAGAATACTAAGCAGCTATAAAAAAGGATGAGTTCATGTCCTTTGCAGGGACATGGATGAAGCTGGAAACCATCATTCTCAGCAAACTATCACAAGGTCAGAAAACCAAACACCGCATGTTCTCACTCATAAGTGGGAATTGAACAATGAGAACACATGGACACAGAGAAGGGAACATCACACACAGGGGCCTGTTGTGGGATGGGGGACTGGGGGAGGGATAGCGTTAGGAGAAATACCTAATGTAAATGACGAGTTGATAGGTGCAGCAAACCAACATGGCACATGTATACCTATGTAACAAACCTGCACTTTGTGCACATGTACCCTAGAACTTAAAGAATAATAAAAAAATCCATAATAATAGTGGTATTATGTGATCAGCTTTTGATTAAATACTGACTCATTCATTCCATAGTATTCACTGAGCCCAGCTGTGGGTCAGGCCCTTTGATAGGTCCTGAGGACACAGCAGTAACTTTAGCTGGCTGAAGTGGTGGAAAGACAGTTGGAGTGGCCACAGGTAACTCCATTTACCCTTTTGCACAAGAAAATTAAATACACGTGTCCTAGGTGCCAAAGGTGCTTATGGAGTCAAGTATATGAGCTGCCTTTAGGGAAATATTAAGCCTAACTCTGGGTTGGGCTTTATCCAGCCCCATAAACTTAAAATTGAGTAATTTGGGGCACGTATTTTAAACATTTTTCATCTGTAGAATTAGAACACTACTACCTACCTCATATTTTGGAGCATATTATGTGAAAAAGGCCCAGAAAAAAACTATATTTTTTTAAAAAACAGTATTTATCTTGTTGTACATGATCATTATATACAATTTTAATTTGTCGATTAAAAATAAATGAATAAGTAAAGAAATAAAAACAAAACAAACAAAAAACTATATTTTAAAATTTCAATAGCTTTGAGGGTACAAGTAGTTTTTGGTTACCTGGATGAACTGCCTAGTGGTGAAGTCTGAGATTTTAGCGCACCTATCACCTGAGTAGTGTACACTGCACCTAATATGTAGTTTTTTAAATCCCCTACTCCCCTCCCACTCTCTCACCTTTTCAGTTCCCAATGTCCATTATACCACTGTGTGTGCCTGTGCATACCCATAGCTTAGCTCCCACCTGTAAGTGAGCACATACAATATTTGCCATTTCTGAGTTACTTCACTTAGAATAGTGACCTCCAGCTCCATCCAAGTTGCTGAGAGGCATTATTTCATTTTTTTCATGGTTTAGTAGTATTCCATGATGTATAACCCATTTACTTTATCCTCTCATCGGTTTATGGGCACTTAGGTTGGTTACAGATCCTTGCAATTGTGAATTGAGCTGCGATAAACATACACATGTGCATGTCTTTTTGATATAATGACTTCTTTTCCTTTGGGTAGATACCCAGTAGTGGGATTGCTGGATTGAATTTTAGATCTACTTTTGTTTTTTTGAAAAATCTCCATACTGTTTTCTATAGAGGTTATACTAATTTACATTCCCACCAGCAGTGGATAAGCATTCCCTTTTTACCACATCCACGCCAACATCTATTGTTTTTTGACTTTATAATAGTGGCCATTCTGGCTGGGGTAGGGTAGAATCTCATTGTGGTTTTAATTTGCATTTCCCTGATTATTAGTGATGTTAAACATTTAAAAAATTTGTTTGTTGGTCATTTGTATATCTTCTTTTGAGAAATGTCTATTCATGTCATTTGCCCACTTTTTGATAGGATTATTTGTTTTTTCTTGCTGATTTGCTTGAGTTCCTTGTAGATTCTGGATATTAGTCCTTTGTCAGATGCATAATTTGCAAAATATTTCTTTTTGAATCTTCTTACAAAGACAAGTGAATCATTCACACATTCTCTTCCGACATTCTCCAGATGACTTTGAGTTTTCTTCAACAGTCTCATAAATTACTTTCATTTTTGTTTATAATTTGTTTTGTGTTTTTGACATTTTGAAAGTTAAGGAATTTTATTTATTTTTATTTTTATTTTTTGAGATGGAATCTCACTCACTTTGTCTCCCAGGCTGGAGTGCAGTGGTGCGATCTTGACTCACTGCAACCGTCCACCTCCCAGGTTCAAGCAATTCTCCTGTCTCGGCCTCCTGAGTAGCTGGGACTACAGGTGTACACCACCACACTTGGCTAATTTTTGTATTTTATTACAGATGGGGTTTCACCAAGTTGGTCAGGCTGGTCTCGAACTCCTGACCTCAAGTGATCCACGTGACTCAGCCTGTCAAAGTGCTGGGATTAAAGGGGTGAGCCACAGCATCTGGCCAAAACGTTAGGGAGTTTTAATATATTTATCTCAGGGTTCCTTCAAACAAATTTTATATTTATAAGAATACTGCAATGCATCTTTAACTCTTATAATTATATATATTCCTTTGAGTATATGTATTTTTCTTCACTAGTAAGGACTATTAGCCAACTTGGTTAAATAATGCCTAAATAAATAAAAAATTTTAAAACTAATTTTTATTTTTTGGCAGTTCAATCATTGAATAAACTTTTATGAGATGATTTGAATTTATATCATATATTTTGGTTCCTTAAATATGTCTTTTCATTTTCCACCAGTTAGTACCAATGTGACACATATCAAAAATGATTTTCTATCTCCTTCATACCAATCATACCCATTTTAAAGGTTTTAAAGTCTTTGTTTTAATTAGTTTTATCTAAAAAGTCTTCCCCATCTGATTGTGCTTACAATCAAATCTGAGTAAGGTATTTCATATGCAGATAATTTATTGACAGTTGAAAATCAGGGAGATACTGTTCACCGTATTTTGAGAGAAATTTATTTTTAGTGGTAGGTCATTGTGGATTTTTTGATATGCATGTAAATATGCACTTTGATTGGCTTTAATAATCAATCCCCAGACAACTCCAAAGTTGTAATCATTCATAATTTTTAAAGATGAGCCTTTGAACTGGAATGAAGAAACATGGATTGATGTTCCAAGTCAGCAGCACATTAGTGAAAAATGAATAGTTTAGGGTGAAAAATGAATAGTTTGGGAAAGTTGGTCTCCATGATCCTCTCAGCTCATGTGTTCTGTTATTCTAAATTTAATTGTTTTGGATGTACCCATTCCATTCCTGCCTTAGGTGCGGATCCCCCTGGAGGGATGGGATTGGGCAATGAGAGTTCCCTAATGGATTTCATCCTTCTAGGCTTCTCAGACCACCCTCGTCTGGAGGCTGTTCTCTTTGTATTTGTCCTTTTCTTCTACCTCCTGACCCTTGTGGGAAACTTCACCATAATCATCATCTCATATCTGGATCCCCCTCTTCATACCCCAATGTACTTTTTTCTCAGCAACCTCTCTTTACTGGACATCTGCTTCACTACTAGCCTTGCTCCTCAGACCTTAGTTAACTTGCAAAGACCAAAGAAGACGATCACTTACGGTGGTTGTGTGGCGCAACTCTATATTTCTCTGGCACTGGGCTCCACTGAATGTATCCTCTTGGCTGACATGGCCTTGGATCGGTACATTGCTGTCTGCAAACCCCTCCACTATGTAGTCATCATGAACCCACGGCTTTGCCAACAGCTGGCATCTATCTCCTGGCTCAGTGGTTTGGCTAGTTCCCTAATCCATGCAACTTTTACCTTGCAATTGCCTCTCTGTGGCAACCATAGGCTGGACCATTTTATTTGCGAAGTACCAGCTCTTCTCAAGTTGGCTTGTGTGGACACCACTGTCAATGAATTGGTGCTTTTTGTTGTTAGTGTTCTGTTTGTTGTCATTCCACCAGCACTCATCTCCATCTCCTATGGCTTCATAACTCAAGCTGTGCTGAGGATCAAATCAGTAGAGGCAAGGCACAAAGCCTTCAGCACCTGCTCCTCCCACCTTACAGTGGTGATTATATTCTATGGCACCATAATCTACGTGTACCTGCAACCTAGTGACAGCTATGCCCAGGACCAAGGGAAGTTTATCTCCCTCTTCTACACCATGGTGACCCCCACTTTAAATCCTATCATCTATACTTTAAGGAACAAGGATATGAAAGAGGCTCTGAGGAAACTTCTCTCGGGAAAATTGTGATTCCTATGGACATGATTTGCAAGGAATTCATTATAAGCCAGGTAGCTTATTCAGCTTCTATTTAGTCAAACCCATAGTTCTAAATTTCACATGAACTATATTACTGCTCACTTATTTTCTCTTCATAAGGGACTTTTTCCTTTTTTATGTGTAACTAAGTAAAATGTTTATATGTTTATTTGAGAGCATAAACTATTGAAAAGAGAGCTGTGGATGGTTGTAAATTGTGATCCTCACCACAAAGCCTCTATTTTATGTCTGATACTTATTCCCAGGGATTCAGAAAAATAAATTATTAAGTATTTACCATGTATTTATCTAGGTTAGGAGACTTTTCTTCAGTTTTAATAAAATGTTCAGTTTCCTGCCAAACACTTTACATTTACATCGTAATGTCCTTCATTATAGCTTTATGTTGAAAATAAGCAATTCCTGCATGTGCTCGTAGTTCAAATTTATTGGTCAGTAGGATATTGCATAAGCTATTTTTAAATAACCGTTCCAAATACATTTTAAGAATTTATAAGGGGTAACAAGAACAAAATACGCTAAACACATTATTTTTCATAACTTAGAGTGTGCATCTCTTTTTGTGTTCTGAGGCCACTTTATCCTTGTGCAGGAGCCATGCTCATCTTCTCTGTATTATTTCAATGTTAGTATATGAGTTGCAGAAGTGAGAACTGAGGTCACTTTATACATGGTAGGTACAAGACTTTTGAAAGAATAAAATAATCAAATAATTTTCTTCTATACCTTTTCATACATTCAATCAATGAGAATAATTGGACTTCAAAAGACATTATTATTTTCTTTTTTTAAAAATACAGCTTCATTGAGGTATAATTGATATACATATTTAATGTATAAAATTTGAGGAGTATGGGCTAGGCGCGGTGGCTCACACCTGTAATCCCAGCACTTTGGGAGGCTGAGGCGGGCGGATCACGAGGTCAGGAGATCGAGACCATCCTGACTAACACGGTGAAACCCCGTCTCTACTAAAAAAAAAATAAAAAAAAATTAGCTGGGCTTGGTGGCAGGTGCCTGTAGTCCCAGCTACTCGGGAGGCTGAGACAGAAG
This sequence comes from Homo sapiens, assembly GCF_000001405.40. Classification (NCBI taxonomy): domain Eukaryota; kingdom Metazoa; phylum Chordata; class Mammalia; order Primates; family Hominidae; genus Homo; species Homo sapiens. Next base: position 247,607,599 of record NC_000001.11, read on the forward strand.
AATGGCGTGAACCCGGGATGCAGAGCTTTCAGTAAGCCAAGATCGCGCACTGCACTCCAGCCTGGGCGACAGAGCGAGACTCTGTCTCAAAAAAAAAAAAAAAAAAAGAAAAAAAAAGAAAAAAAATTTGATGAGTATGATATATACATACACCCTTGAAAATATCACCACAAAGTAATACACATAACCATTACATCTAGAAGTTTCCTTGTGCTTCTTATTTGTGCTTGTTATAACACAACATATGATCAACACTTTTAACAAATTTTTCAGTGCACAATACTGCACTGTAAACTATAAGCACTATGCTTTATAATAGATCTCTTATAACTTATTCATCTTGCATAAATGAAACTTTGTACTTATTGAACAAAAACTCCCCATGTTCTTGTCTCTCATCCCCTAGTAACCATCATTCTATTCTCTACTTCTATGATGGTAACTATTTTAAATATTTAATATAAGTGAAACCACACACTACTTGCCCTTCTCTGACTAGCTTTTTTATTTAGCATAATGTCCTCCAGGTTCATTCATATTGTTGCAAAGGGGTCAATTCAGCAAGAGTATATAACAATTGTAAACATATATGTACCTGACATTGAAGCACACAGATTATATAAAGCAACTATTATTAGAGTTAAAGAGAGAGATAGGTAGGCTCCAATACAACAATAGCTGGAGACTTCAACACCCCACTTTCAGCATTGGACAGATATTCCAGACAGAAAATCAACAAACAAACATTGGACTTAATCTGCACTACAGACCAAATGTACCTAATAGACATTTACAGAACATTTCATCCAAGAGCTGCAGAATACACATGCTTTTCCTCAGCACATGGATCATTCTCAAGGATAGACCATATGTTAGGTCACAAAACAAGTCTTAAAACACCCCAAAAATTGAAATAATATCAAGCATCTTCTCTGACCACAGTGGAATGAAACTAGAAATTAATAACAAGAGGAATTTTGGAAACTATAAAAACACATGGAAATTAAATAATATGCTCCTGAATGACCAGTGGATCAATGAAGAAATTAAGATGGAAATTGAAAAGTTTCTTGAAATAAATGATAATGAAAACACAACATATCAAAACCTATGGGATACAGCAAAACCAGTACTAAGAGGAAAGTTTATATCCATAAAAGCCTACATCAAAAAAGAGGAAAACTTTCAAATAAACAATCTAATGATGCATTTTGAAGAACTAGAAAAGCAAGAGCAAACCAAACCTAAAATCTGTAGAAGAAAAGAAATAAAAAGATCAGAGCAGAAATAAATGAAATTGAAATTAAAAAGGTCAATAAAAGAAAGTTGGTTTTTTGAAAAGTTAGACAAAATTTATGAAACTTTAGCCAGACTGAGAAAAAAAGGAGAATGTCTGAATAAACAAAATCAGAATAAAAAGAGACATTATAATTGATGCTGCAGAAATTCAAAGGTTCATTAGTGGCTACAATGAGCAACTATATGCTATTAAATTGGAAAATCTAGAAGAAATGAACAAATTTCTAGACACCTAAACAACCTACCAAGATTGAACCCTAAGGAAATTCAAAACCTGAACAAGCCAATAACCAGTAACGAGGTCAAAGCTGTAATAAACAGTCTCCCAGTGTAGAAAAGCTTTAGGACCCAGTGGCTTCATTGCTGAATTCTACCAAACATTTAAAGAAGGACTAACAGCAATCCTACTCAAACTATTCCAACAAATAGAGGAGGAGGGAGTACTTCCAAACTTATTCCATGAGGCCAGTATTACACTGATACCAAAACCAGACAAAGACACATCAGAAAAGGAACACCACAGGCCAATATCTCTTATGTTATTGATGCAAAAGTCCTAACAAAATTCTAGCAAACAAAATTCAACAATACATTAGAAAGAAAGATTATTAATCATGACCAAGTGGGGTTTATCCAAGGGATGCAAGGATGGTTCAGCATATGCAAATAAATCACTGTGATATATCGTATCAGTAGAATGAAGAACAAAAACCCATGTGATCACTTCAAATGATGCTGAATAAACATTTGATAAAATTCAATAATCCTTCATGGTAAGAGCCCTCAAAAAACTGGGTATAGCACCATGGAATACTATGTAGCCATAAAAAAGAAGGACTTCATGTCCTTTGCAGGGACAAGGGGGAAGCTGGAAGCCATCATTCTCAGCAAACTAACACAGGAACAGAAAACCAAACACCACATGTTCTCACTCATAAGTGGGAGTTGAGCAATGAGAACACATGAACACAGGGAGGGGAACATCACACAACGGGGCCTGTCGGAGGCATGGAGGGTAAGGGGAAGGAGAGCATTAAGACAAATACATAATGCATGTGGGGCTTAAAACCTAGATGATGGGTTGATAGGCACAGCAAACCACCAGGCACATGTATACCTATGTAACAAACCTGCATGCTCTGCACATGTATCTCAGAACTTAATGTAAAATTTAAAAAAACTGGGTATAGAATGAACATACTTCAACATAATAAAAGTCATGCAAAATGGACCCACAGCTAGTATCATCATGAATGGGGAAAAACTGAAAGCCTTTCTTCCAAGATCTGGATCACAACACAGATGCCCACCTTCCCCACTGTTATTCAACATAGTAGTGGAAAACCTAGCTAGAGCAATCAGACAAGAGAAAGAAATAAAGTGTGTCAAATTGGAAAGGGAGAAGTCAAATAATTATCCTTGTTTACAGAAGATATGATCTCATATTTGGAAAAACCTAAAGGCCCCACCAGAAAGCTATTAGAACTGATAAACTCAGTAAAGTTGCAGAACACAAGAGTACAAAATAAGTAGCATTCTACATGACAACAGTGAACAATATGGAAAAGAAATTTTTAAAATCCCATTTTATGTGTAGTGTCACATAAAATTAAATACCTAGGAATTAAGCTTAGCCAAAGAAGTGAAAAAGCTCTGTAATGAAAACTGTAAAACACTAATGAAGGCAATTAAAGAGGACAACAAAAAGTGGAAAAATATTTCATGTTCATGGATTGGAAGAATCGATATTGTTAAAATGTTCTTACTACTCAGAGGAATCTACAGATTCAAAGCAATCCCTATGAAAATACCAATGACATTCTTCACAGAAATAGAAAAAAAATTATAAAACTTATATGGACCCACAAAAGACCCAGAATAACCAAAGCTATATTAAGCACAAAGAATAAAACTGGAGGAATCATATTACCTGACTTCAAATTATACTATAGTGCTATAGTAACCAAAACAGCATGGTACTGGCACAAAAACTGACACAAAAATCAGTGGAACAGAATAGAGAACACAGAAACAAATTCACACATGTACAGTGAACTCATTTTCAACAAAGATGCCAAGAACATTCACTGGAAAAAGACAATCTCTTCAATAAATGGCCCTGGGAAAACTGGATATCTACATTCAGAAAATGAAACTAGACCCCCATCTCTCATCATATACAAAAATCAAATCATAATCAAGACTTAAATTTAAGACGTCAAACTATAAAACTACTACAAGAAAACATTGAGGAAAATCTGTAGGACATTTGTTGGGCAAAGATTTCTCTAGCAGTAACATCCCACAAGCGCAGGCAACCAAAGCAAATGTGGACAAATGGGATCACAGAAAGTCAAAATGCTTCTGCACAGCAAAGGATGCAATCAACAAACTAAAGAGACAACCCACAGAATGGGAGAAAATATTTGCAAACTACCCACTGACAAAGGGTTAATAATCAGAATACATAAGAAGCTCAAACACCTCTATAGGGAAAAATTTAATAATCTGATCAAAAGATGGGCAAAAGATTTCAATAGATATTTCTCAGAAGAAGACATACAAATGGCAGACAGGTATATGAAAAGGTGTTCATCAGAGAAATGCAGATCAAACAGGCATATGAAAAGGTGCTTATCAGAGAAATGCAGATCAAAACTGCAATGAGATATCATCTCACCCCAGTTAAAATGGCTCATATCCAAAAGTCAGGCAATAACAAATGTTGGTGAGGATGTGGAGAAAAGGGAGCCTTTGTACACTGTTGGTGGGAGTGTCAATTGCTACAACCACTATGAACAACAGTTTGGAGTTTCCTCAAAAAAACAAAAATTGAGCTACAATATGATCCAGCAATCCTGTTGCTGAGTATATACCCAAAAGAAAGAAAATCAGTATATCAAAGAGATATCTGCACACCTATGTTTGTTGCAGCTGTCTACAATAGCTAAGATGTGGAAGTCACCTAAATGTCCATCAACAGACGAATGGATTAAGAAAATGTGGTACATATATATAATGGAGTACTATTCACCCATAGAAAAGAATGAGATCCTGTCATTTGCAACAACATGGATGGAACTGGAGATCATTATGTTAAGTAAAATAAGTAAGGCACAGAAAGGCAAATTATAGCATGCTCTCACTTAATTTTAGATGTGGAATCTAAAAAATTCCAGCACATAGAAGCAGAGTGCAGGATTGTGGTTACCTGGAGCTGGGGACTGTGGGGAATGGGCAATGGTGGTAAGAGGATATAATGCTTCAGCTAGACAGGAAGGATAAATAATAAGTATTTGAGGTGATAGATATGTTAATTAGCTTGATTCAATTATTCCATAATGTGTATATATGTGTATACTACATATATGGTAGCAACAATTTTATATTGTATACAATTGTAATTTGTCATTATCTGACAAAAATAAATAAAAATTTAAAAAGGATAGTGTTAAACTTTGCACTATAACAATAGCTTAAAACATGAAAAAATTATATAATTGAATGTTGATAAGTCATGTTTACATTATTAAAAAGCAGTGATGTGCAGAGAAAATAACTTCTGGCTCATGTCTGGTTTGCATTAGATACAAGTTGAATTAACCTGTATTTTCCTTACCATGGAATATCCAGATTTATTGGGTGAACATGGTAAAGACTGAAAAAGTTGCCTTGGGATAAGAAGTAAAGGATAAAATAAATCACATAAATTTTGTGTATTTCTGCAAAGTGAAACATAATATGAATAAAATAATTGGAAACGGTGCCATTTTCATTTTAGTTGAGGAGCAGACAATTCTAAAGACATAATTTTCAAAACTATGATCATGAAGCTGCTTCCAAAATAAAGAAAATAGTAAAACTTGTGGATTTGCCTAAATCAGAGTCTTAGAAATCTGTCTTTTGAGAATTCAGGGTGAAGACACAAGCTATGTGTACAAGGCACTTAAACAAATTATACCAGCTTTCCATTTAGGAGAAGAAAACTGAAAACCCAGGGCCATGATCTCCATATAGATGGAGAATTTACATATTTATTAAGATAATCAAATTGTGGAATAAATGGCTTGCTTCCAGTGATTAAAAATTATCTGCAATATTTTGACCATATTTTTTACGAATTGCAGTGAAGAATTATAAAATATTATTTGACCACTCTATAAATAGCATCTAAACAGATATAATCTTTAATACACTATAGGACATGAATAACCTCCTCCAAATTAGTTTTCCAGGATCTCTAAACAGAATATTTCAAACTTCAGGCTTATGATTTAAAAATTTTAATTCATTTTGCAACTAATGAACTGGAAATAAGAGTCTTCATTGTGAAGCATCTCCATATTTCTAGGTTTCTGATCAATCAGAAGGACAGAACTCTCTGGAAAAGTCATTAATACTTTTTCTCATGTCCAACAATCCATACATTTAGGTAAGAGTTTTCTAACTTAGTAAGAAAAATACGCAGGTCTTATTTAGCTTAGCCCATTCCTGTGAAGCAAGTTGTAGGTACTCTGGTGAAGAAATAATATACTTCTCACTGATACAAAAGCCATTACTATTGGAGTTTCACGATGTAAGATTGCATGCCAAAAGCACAGATCTTGATAAAGATTAGACAAAAGCAATGTGACATGGGGGCCCTGGGAAAGGAGAATGAGGAGTTCAAGTGACAGTTTATAGTTCCAGGTAGGACAGAGCAAACACATTTCACCTGGTGGGAAAAGATAAAGCAGCTACCTGAGAATTCTAGGAAATATACAGTAGCAGGTAGATCAAAGTCCAAAATTTGAAATACTATCAAACCTGTGGTAAGTTTACTATTTTTTTCCTCTTGTCTTCAGGTGACTTAACCTATGATGCAGGCCCAATCATGGAAGAGCATCTTTATGTAAATCCAAAATTATTCTAAAATAAGAAGTTTATATAAGGACTTTAGCATTTAGAAAGATGGAGTTGAAGTACTGTTTCTTTTTCCTCCTGCCAAGTTCAATTAAAATCCTTGGACACTGTATATAAAACAAGCATAGGAAGATTCTGGAAGGTGAAGGGAATAAGGCAGACCAGCTAGGGACTGGCTTGTTGTTTTCTTCCTCCTGTATAGGAAGGAGGTCTAGCCTAGGTCTTGGAAAATCTCACAGTCCAGAAATGCTGAAGGGCACAGATCTAAAGAAAAAGCCCCTATAACACCCAAGTCTCTCCAGTCAAAGGACACGAAAAGGGAAGGCAGGCAAGACAGAAACTTCTAGACAATACCTTCTCCACTCCAGCCAAACACCACAGAAAAGACAGAGTCCTACCTCTAGTCCCACCAGAAACATTAAAATGGGGAGCCTGGGCATCCACTCTTACCTGATTTTGCCTCTCCCGCCCCTTGATGGGCTGGAGTCAGCAGAAGCCTGCTGGAGAGTTATCGTTGCCACAGCCCAACGATAACAAGCCCATCCACTATGGTGTCACTGGAATTACGTGGAAGCAGTAACACAGCACATTTGCCCATTGCATCCACAGTGATATCCCGCAGAGAGCTGGAAATCCCACCCTGCCAACAGCAATGAGGAGTCCTTTCTCCTCATGTAGGAGTCAAAGAGGTGGTGTTTGGAGGGAGCAACACCACTTTGATATTGGGGTGAAGATAAGATATTGGGGTGAGAAATAAGAGGATGTGCAGGAGTGTTATTCGCAGCAAGCAAGATCTTGAAAGGTATATTATTCCCCAAACAGTACTTCTCCATTTTGTTGGCATAGCAATTCAGAAGGGCACTTTGGAAGAGGAGCTGGGTCATTCGTGACTTCTTAGTGCTCCTGTAGAACACAGGCGGTTCGTGCTTGTTGATGTGACTGAAGGCCCTAGAGTTCTCACTGTGCCAGATCACAGGGGCCATCCTGGCACTGAGTGGGCCTGTGGCCTGTGTCCACAGGGAACACCCTGCAGGTTGGGTCCATGGGTACCAGCCTGGTGCTTGTGGCCACGGGGGAAACTGGCCTGCAGTTGGTGGGCTTAGAGCCTGTATCTGTAGGGCCAGCCTGGATACTGGGTCTGCTGGTGTTGGAATGGTGCCCAAGGCCATGGTGGACGGCCTGGTGCTGTGGTCTTCAGGTGCCAATCTGGCACTGGAGTAGGCCTGAAGCCTGGGGTTATAGGGTTGGGTCTGGCACTGAAACAGTCTGGGTCCTGTGGTCACTGGGGCTGCCCTAGTGGTGGAGCAAGTGATGGAGAACCTCAGGCAGGTCTGGAGTCTGTGTCTACGGGGGCTTCCTTGGCACAGGAATGGGCCTGGAGGCTGGGTGCATGGGTGCTGACATGGTGATTTGACGTGTTGGGTTAGCCTGTTTACGAGGCAGGCCTAAAGACTATGGTTGTGGGAGCTGGCCTAGTGCAGGGGGATCTCTGGAGCCCGGGGCTTCTGAGGCTGACCTGGCAGTAGAGCAAGCTTGGGGACTGTGTTTGCAAGGCAGCCTGGAGCCTGGTGATGCAGGGGCTAGCATGGTGCTGGGTTTTACTGGGGTAAGCCTGGTGTTGGGGTCTGAGGCAAAGCTTGGTGCTCACTTTCCTTTGCCCACACAGAGGTTATCTCTCTCCATACATTACTGCTTGGCATTGGGAATGAGGCGATGTGGGTAAGATGACACTGTCCTTCCTATCCTCTTCATTGCATGTTTTAAAATTTCTGTGCTGCAATATCTCATCTGGTTTTCTTAGTTCTTGTGAAGGTCCTTTTGGGCATGAATAATTGTTTGAACTGATGTTTCTGTGAGCAGATGAGAGTTGGAAAGTCCTATTCCACCATCCTGCCAGTGCCATTTGTAGAAATAATTTCTTCAACAACAAAAGAAAAAACCAAAACAAAAAAATTTTAAAAGTGGAGAATTCTGTAATCTCAGAACTTTGGGAGTTCGAGGTGGGGCGGATCACCTGAGGTCGGGAGTTTGAGACAAGCCTGATCAACATGGAGAAACCCCATCTCTACTAAAAATACAAAATTAGCCTGGCGTGGTGGCGGGCACCTGTAGTCCCAGCTACTCGGGAAGCTGAGGCAGGAGAATGGCGTGAACCCGGGAGGAGCTTGCAAGTGAGTGGAGATCATGCCACTGCACTCCAGCCTGGGCGACAGAGAGAGACTCCGTCTCAAAAAAAAAAAAAAAAAAGGTGGAGAATTAATAGAAAAACAACATTGAAATTAGTAAGTTCTATTTGTCAAAACACTATAAAGAGAAATATAAAACTACAAACTTGAAAAATATCTACAACTAATTTCATCAATAAAGACTTAGTATCCATAATGAAAAATAATTCCTGCATACTAATAAAAATAAACTCAATTTTAAATGAGGAAATATTTGAATAGCATTCCACAAAAGAAGCAATCCAGTGACCACTCAATCCATGTAGGCGTGAGGAATGACATGAAATGAGACAGAGGATTGGAGCATTCAAGCATATGGGCCAAGTCAAGAAATTTTACCTTTAATACCAAAGAAATGCAGAGAAAGGTCTTAAGACAAGGGTGACAGGTTAGTTTTGTTTTTTTGTTGTTGTTATTTCATTTTGTTTTTTTTTTGAGACAGGATCTTGCTCTGTTGTTGAGAGTGGAGTGCAGTGGTGTGACTATGGCTCACCTCCATCTCCCTGGCTCAATAGATCCTCCCACCTCAGCCTCCCGAGTAGCTGGGACTACAGGTACATGCCCCTGTGCCCAGTGAGATGGTCTTAAACTCCTGGGCTCAAGCTATCTGTCTGCCTCAGCCCCACAAAGTGCTAGGATTACAAGCATGAGCCAGGATGCCCAGCTGGATTAGCTTTGTGTTTAAAATTTGCCATTCATATACAAAATTGACTTGGGATAGAAAGGGCTATGAAAAGGCACAAATATACCTATTTGGGAAGAATATTAGGATAAAAATATTAAGAATGAAAATCTAGTTCCAGAATCTCTGGTTGGGTTTATACCTATTGTCCAAGCATAAGTATCGATCGTTTCTTCTTTCACTCTCAGCACAAGCGCTCTATCTAATCGAGCCTCTGGGCGTGTGGAAGGTTATATTATGCAATTAATTCGCATTCTTTTATCCCACATCACAGAAAAGAATATTTCTCCTTGTTGCTAGTCACTGAATTAATCAAAGCTCTGCTTTTCTTTTTGCTCGCCAAGGACATATTTACAAGAAATCTTGTCTCCAGAGACCTCCGAATTATAAAGAGTTTCTCTCATTAGGATCTCACTTATTAATCACCATTTCATTACAAATATTGAATCACAGCTAAATGGAAACCAGATGTGGCACTCATCAAGTTTATATTTTTGAATCAGGGAGAAGATAAAGACATTTGCAGTTGCAACTTGGAGGCTACAGCCACATTGTTAGATTAGGGCATTTTTCAATTTTATCTGATATGTTCAGGTAAACCAAGGCTCCTTCTCAAAGAAACAGAAGTTTGAAATTTTGAATGACTGGAGTTGCTCAATGGCCCAGTTCAACAAAAATCAGCTCATAGCATGCAGTAAGTTCAATACCATAAGTGGAAAATAAAACCATAAATAATGTTATATTATTTTTCAATTAATAGATTGCACTGATATATTTCCATACCATCTTCTTATCTGATTTATAGATTAAGCACAACACATTTTAGAATACACAGTTATTTCTTTTTTTGGGGTGATAGCAGTTCTGGATCTGGGCATGAGCAATGCACATCCATGAAAGCAGGTAAAAGAAAAGAGGGAGTAGTATAATACGAGTTTTGATGTGTGGTGAATTGGATGAGTCTATATTTCCTTTCAGTGGTGAAAGGTGTGTGTGTGTGTGTGCGTGTGTGTGTGTGTGTAGTCTCGATGTATGGTGGGATTGGATGAGTCTATATTTCTTTTCAGTGGTGAAAGTTCTGTATGTGTGTGTGTTCAATGAAAAGGATGTGCACATTTAAACATGTTTGCATTGACTGAATTTTAAAAAATTCATAATAAAAGAGTCAATTCCAATGCCTGTCAATGCATAATAGTTCTCACTTTAGAGTCCTTGATATTTCTCTTCCTGATTAGTGTCACCACATCATTCCTTTAAACATTTTGATAAAAGAGATATCAATTAATGGTGCCCTGGTAAACTGTAATCAGAATAGATTCCCAAGATGAAGTTGGTTCTTTTACTTGGTCACAAGAAGCATTTTTCTTTCTATTTGGTTGTACCTGTCCCTTTAACAACCAGCTATTTAGGCGATCAATGTCAGAAAACTAGAACAAATAGAAACACATTTTCCAGTAGAGAGACATTCAGTTGACTCCATTTTGGTTTTCTTTCTCGGTTTAACTTTTGATTTACCCAAGAAAGACCAGGAAATCAGTGATTGCCTAGAGTGAAAACTGCCAGAAGAAGAGATTATATACAAAGAAGGATAAGGAATATTTTGGATATGATGAAAATAGTCTGCCCTGGTTGTGGTGGTGGTTTCATAGGCATATACAACTGCGAAAACTCCTAGAATTGCATACTTTAAATTGATACAGTTTACCCTACATAAATTCCAGCTACATTATTTGATATGGGTGAAAATCCATTTCAGAGTTTGGCTTAAACACTATAGAAGTCTGGGAATGAGGACTCCCATTTTACTGGACTAGACCAATCCAAAGCAAAATTAAAAAAAAATAAAGTGAGTCGCAGATGCTAGGAAAGATCATTGTAGAAATTGCTCAATATTTTTAGGTGTCTTGAATACATAATTGATATTCTTTTTCTTTGAATCTCAACATTGAAGACAGATTCTGAAGACCAGCAAAAAGACTAGACTGATGTAAATACACATTTCCTAGCTAATCCATACCCATATCCTAAGCATACGATAAATACTTCTGTACCTCTGCCTTTTCCTATGTGGCTTTCTTCAAAAATATCAGTCTAAAAATCATTCAGTAAAATAGTTCTCAAAACCTAGCTCAGACACTGTTCTCTGCAACTCTTCTATAACAACACAAAATAAGACCAATCTCTTTTCTCGATACATCCACTATTACCCTTTCTCAACATGCCTGCTATTGTTTATAATACCAGATTCCACTTAGTATTTTACCTCCCTACGTTCTCTATTTGATTGTTTAAGTTTTGAATTCAAGAACTGTTTCTTATGAAATCTTTTACTATAAGAGCCAACCATTGTGCTTTTTACGTGAGGTGTTTACCAAATGTCTCCTGATACTTTTTTGAAAGGCTGTGACTATAACCTCACTAAATAGTTATGACATAAGGAGCCTTTTTTTCAGATTACTAATACCACTTTGATTTTATTTTCATAAAACTGAAAAGAACTATGACAAACCACTTGCAATGCTGTTCTTTAACACATAATGAGCAAATAAAATGCTTCAAAATAAATATGTATATTCAGTTGATGGGAATAATACTCATTTTTTGTCCAAGTATGCACACTTTATTCTTTTGTTAATACTATATATTTTCTTTGTTGATTATGTCAGTGAGGTTATTCATTCTCCCTTTTTATTTTGCATTTTGGTTGTCGTCTTTTATACACCTCACATACTATGATGTATTTATTGAGAATATGCTTTGTATAAAGCACTATTCTGTGTAATTGAGATTTAGGGTTAGAACGATAGTATCCATGCTGCATATGAGTAACCTTATAATTAATTATCACAAATTGAAATATCACTGGGGGTAGCCATATTTGATATTTCTATAATCCATTTTTTTTCTCTCTTTAGGAAGAAATGGAACGACCACAAGTGATTTTAACCAAACTGAAGTTGCTGAATTTTTCCTCATGGGATTTTCGAATTCCTGGGATATTCAGATTGTACATGCTGCTCTATTCTTCCTAGTTTACCTGGCAGCTGTCATAGGAAATCTCCTAATCATCATACTTACCACTCTGGATGTTCACCTCCAAACCCCAATGTATTTCTTTTTGAGAAACTTGTCTTTCTTAGATTTTTGTTACATCTCTGTCACAATTCCAAAATCTATTGTTAGTTCCTTGACTCATGATACTTCCATTTCTTTCTTTGGGTGTGCTCTGCAAGCCTTCTTTTTCATGGACTTGGCAACTACGGAGGTAGCCATCCTTACAGTGATGTCCTATGACCGCTATATGGCCATCTGCCGGCCTTTACATTATGAGGTCATCATAAACCAAGGTGTCTGTCTGAGGATGATGGCCATGTCGTGGCTCAGTGGGGTGATCTGTGGATTCATGCATGTGATAGCAACATTCTCATTACCATTCTGTGGGCGCAATAGAATACGTCAATTTTTCTGTAATATTCCACAGCTCCTAAGCCTCTTAGACCCCAAAGTAATTACCATTGAGATTGGAGTCATGGTTTTTGGTACAAGTCTTGTGATAATCTCCTTTGTTGTAATTACTCTCTCCTACATGTACATTTTTTCTGTCATCATGAGGATTCCTTCTAAGGAGGGTAGATCAAAAACATTTTCTACCTGCATTCCACATCTTGTGGTTGTAACACTCTTTATGATATCTGGCAGCATTGCCTATGTGAAGCCAATTTCAAATTCTCCCCCCGTTCTGGATGTTTTCCTGTCTGCGTTCTACACAGTCGTGCCCCCGACCCTGAACCCCGTCATCTATAGTCTGAGGAATAGGGACATGAAGGCAGCCCTGAGAAGGCAGTGTGGTCCCTGAGAAGGCAGTGTGGTATGCTAGATGAAGAATTTGATTACGGACCAGACTCTTGAACTCTTGCTCTAATCAGGCAATTTGTAAACTCTCTGGGTTTATATTTTCAATTGATTGCTGAGCTCTTTCTTGATTTTTAAATTAAATTCAGCTATAGTTTACCATACTAACCATATTTGGGTGAATTCAACCTTAGAATGCACTAAAAGGTACTTCGGGGTGTTCAAAACATTAGAACTTGTGCTTTTATTCATTTTTATGAGTTGTAGATCTCAAAATTTTATAAATTATATTGTACTCAGTAATACAACATATTAATTAATATAAAAGTGAATTACTAATATAAATGAATTACTACCGTATGTGTATATTAATTACAGCAGAACAAGATCATATGGATTAAAAACAACCAAATGGAAAATAAACATAAGGTAACAGTGTGTGCTCAGAATTTCTTCAGCATTATAAAGGATGGTCAAATAGGCTAGAGACCAGTGTTCTGGGAGCATATCTATTGGGTGAGATGAAATATATGCAATAATATCACAAACTATAAAGGTTCACATATGTTTATGGTGCTGTGTATAGGAAGGTTCACAGAGGAGAAATGTCATTTTCATTAAACACAATATTATGTTAAGCTAACTAAAATCTTCTTCCATTTTTCCTCTGCATAGGAAAGTATGAACTGAAAGTTATTATGCATTATTCCCAGAGTGCTTTTATGTGTATTCTATCTATATAAATATTCATCTATAAAATGCATAGCATCATTTTATAAATTAATACTTAAACTATAATATAAATAGCATCCTACCTTAGTTATCCTTTTTAAAGTCCTTTAAATTGTATTTTTAGTTGACAAATAAAAATAATTATATATGCCTATGGGGTAAAAGTGATGTTTTAATACATGTTTGCAATGTGGAATGATTAAATCAGGCAATGTAATATATCACCTGAAACATTTGTCATTCATTTGTGGTGACATTGTTTAAAATCCTCTTTTAACTGTTTTGAAACACACAATACATTGGTATGAACTAGATTAATCTTGCTGTGCAATAGATCACCAGAGCTTATCCTTCCTGTCTAACTGGAACTCTGTGCTCTCCGACCAACATTTCCCCTTTACCAGTCTACCATCACCCTTGCCTCCATCTTCTGGTCAGCACCATTCTACTCTGTATTTTTATGAGTTTGACTTTTTCAGATTCCACATATAAGTGAGATCCTGTGGTATTTGTCTCTCTGTGACTGGCTTATTTCACGTAACATGATGTCTTCTCTAGGTTCATCCATATTGTCACCAATGACAGAATTTCATGTTTTTTTTCAAGGCTGAATAGTATTCCATTGTGTGTGTATACTACATTTTAAAAATCCATTTGTCCATGGTGGACACTTAGATTGATTCCATATTTCGGCTATTGTAATGCCGCAATGCACATGGAAATACAGACATGCCTTTGACCTACTGATTCCAGTTCTTTGGATAGATGCAAGCGTACCTCATTGTATTGCACTTCATTTGCTGAATTTCACAAATATTGCATTTTTTATAAATCAAAGGTTTTTGGTAACTTTGCATTGGGCAAGTCTATTGGCACCATTTTTCTGACAGCGTGTGCTCACTTCACGTCTGTGTGTCACCTTTTAGTGATTCTCACAATATTTCAAACTTTTTCATTATTGTTATGTCTGTTTTGGTGATCTGTGATCAGTGATGTTCAATGTTACTATTGTATTTGTTTCGGGGAGCCATGAACTGTTCTCATATAAGATGATAAACTTAATAAGTGTGTGTGTTCTGACTCTCCGTTGACTGGCTGTGTCTCCATCTTTTTTTCCTCTCCTTAGGCCTTGCAATTTCCTTAGACACAACAATATGAAAATTAGGTCGATCAATAATCCTACAAGGCCTCTGAATTTTCAAGTGAAAGGAAGAGTTGCCCGTCTCTCACTTTAAATCGAAAGCTAGAAACTATTAAGCTTAGGGAGGAAGGTATAGTCACTCAAATTATGAAAAAATGCAACATCTAAAGGAAAACATTGATAATGATAACTATTAAATGTAAGGCTTTATTCTCACCCACAGTCATCTTAAAGTGGAAAAAATCCCAAACTACATACCCATAGAACCTAATTGCCAAAGGATTGGCACTCTGAATGTGAAAATGACTTCTTTAAATCAGGATCAGATCAAGAACATGTAAAAATATGCATTGTACTTGAAGAGTGCATTATCCTGGAAGTCATCTCACAGCAGAGAAAACATAATTTGTCCAGTAACACAGGCAAGCTTTCTAAAATATTTGACAGCATCAAGTGTTGGTGGGCTTAGGAACGACTTGGACACACACACTGCTGTTAGTGAACACTTTGATCCATATTTTGTTATTTATACAGTAATGTTAAACATGGATTGCATTCATCATGGTTCTTAGTTGAAACGTATAAAATTACAAATAGCCTATTGAGGCATATGGAGTTTAAAACGTAGACTACTGCCATTACATGCACAGTCTACATGTGAGAGCTTGGGCTGTACATTACCAGGAACTGAATATATTTTAAAAAGGCTCTCAAAACACCACAAATGGTGATGAAACCCAACAGCTGCTGCTGTACTTGTGGGTATAAGTATATTTGAGAAAATCTCTGATTTTCCAGAAGAATCGACCACTTCCACTCCAAGCTTGCAAGAAACCCAACATTCCTTCACATATGTGACTTCTTCCCACAGAAGCTCCACTACTAGTTTTCTTGATGGAAACTGGGTCATATACAAGCAGGGAGATGGAGATATGAAAGAACCAGTACAAGATATGCTTCAAATCTATAGCTTCCCTGAAGACTATAATACAGACTGGAAAGAGTTTAAAATAAGGACTGAGTGAGCTTACTTATAGCATCTATCTCATGCATTACATCTGTGCCTCAGCAATTCCACGTACAGGCATACACCTCGGAAAACTCTTTCATACATGAGAAAGCATTTTTAAGAATGTTTATTGAAGCACTAATTTGCTTTAGAAAAAAGCAGAGATATAACTGAAATTAACTTTCACTGGAGAATATATTGGTGTAAATTAATTAACCATAACTTCAGTATTTACTTTTCAAGATTTAAGAAAACCATTAAACTTGGATGAATGCATCTTCTCCATATCTGTCAATTTCCCCACCACAGTTAGTGTGTGTGTGTTTGTGTGTGCGTACATGTGTGTATCTGTGTATACACGTGTGCATGTGTGTTTGTGTGTTCATAAGAACTAGAAGACATCTTTAAAATTGGAATATATAAAAGTTATAAAGGCCCTCATTTGAGCATTTCCTGAGCTTTTCACTTATCCCTTAGTAGAAATACCATCTCCTTTAACAAGAGTTATTGATTCTAAGAAAAAAAGAAATTTCGTTTTGTCTACTGCTGATTTATCTTGCAGATATAAAAACTGGCAAAAGTAATTCATTTATTTGTATATCATTGGTTTAATAGAAGGATAGAAGGAAGTGAACTGGCTAGTATCTTTCATCCAAAAATCTTGACACTGGAAAACAATTTCCTAAATTTGTCTTGAATTTTCTTCCTCAGATGAAAAAACCATAACTGTATTAGCTTTACAACTTATAATTACTTTGTAAATATATTTGATTATTTTCTGTCGAAGTAGCACGTGTGTGCGTGCTTGGGTGTGTGTGTGTGTGCACTATGACTCAGAGTCAAAGTGAATGTATTTATACTAAATGGATATGTTCATTCATAGATATTTATTGATTGATAACTGTGCACTAAGCTAATCAGGGAGAAAGTTACCGTAGCAGAGAGAAGAAACAATTTTTTCCACTGATGAAATAATAAATAAACCAATTCAAATAATGCATAATTTATTGTCTGGAATTGTAGTTAAATGAAGAAGCATAGAGAAAGGTAAGAGGATAGAGAATGAAGTAGTATTGGATTCCAGTTTTTTAAATTTTTGATTTAATTTTTATTTTTATGGGTATATAGTAGGTGTATATATATGAGATACATGAGATATCTTGATAAAGGCATGCAATAAATAGTAATCACATCAGGGTAAATGGGGTATCCATGACCTGAAGCATTTATCTTTTGTGTTACAAACAATCCAGTTATAATATGTTAGTAGTTTTAAAATGTATGATTAAATTATTTTTGACTACAGTCATTCTGTTGTGTTAACAAACACTAAGTCCTAATAATTATTTCTATTTTTGTACCCATCAACCATCACTATTTCCTCCCCACTTCCCCCAACTACCCTTACCAGACCATGCTTCTACTCTCTAGCTCCAAGAGTTTGATTATTTTAATTTTTAGCTTCCACAAATAAATGAGAACATGTGAAGTTTGTCTTTTTGTGCTTGGCTCATTTTGCTTAAAATGATGAACTCCAGTTTCATCCATGTTGTTGCAAATGACAGGATTTCATTCTTCTTATGGTTGACTAGAACCCCATTGTGTATAGTTACCAAATTTTCTTTATCCATTCATCTGTTGTTGGACACTTGTGTTGCTTCCATTGTGTAACTATTGTGAGCAGAGCTGTAGCAAACATTGTAGTGCAGGCACCTTTTCAATACACTAATTTCCTTTCTTTTGTGTACGTACCTAGGAGTGGGATTGCAGGATTGTATGGTAACTCTATTTTTAATTTTTTGAGGAACTGTCAAACTGTTGTCCATAGTGATTCTACTAATTTACATTCTAACCCACAGTGTACAAGGGTTCTCTTTGCTTCACATCCTTGCCAGCATTTGTTATAGCCTGACTGACTTTTGGATAAAAACCATTTTATCTGGGGTGAGGTGATATCTCATTGTAGTTTTGATTTGTATTTCTCTGACAATCAGTGATATTGAGGACCTTTTCATATACCTGTTTGCCATTTTTATGTCTTCTTTTGAGAAATGCCTATTCAGATCTTTTGCCCATGTTTAAATCAGATTATTAGATTTGTCCCTAGAGAGTTATTTGTGCTCTTTATATATTCTGTCAGATGGGTAGTTTTCAAATATTTTCTCTCAGTCTATGGGTTTTGTCTTCACTTTGTTGATTGTTTCCTTTGCTGTGCCAGAGATTTTTAACTTGATGTGATCATTTGTCCATTTTTGCTTTGGTTGCCTGTGCTTTTGAGGTATTAGTCAATAAATCTTCAACCAGTCCAATGTCTGAGAGCATTCTCCAATGTTTTCTTTTAGTATTTTCATAGTTTGAGGTCTTACATTTAAGTCTTTAATCCATTTTGATTTGAGTTTTCTATATGGTGAGAGAAAGGGGTCTAGTTTTATTCTTCTGCATACGAATATCCAGTTTTCCCAGCACCACTTATTGAAAATGGTGTTCTTTCCCTAATGTATGATCTTGGCACCTTTGTCAAAATTGAGTTCACTGTAGATGTATAGATTTATCTCTGGGTTCTCTATTCTGTTCCACTGATCTATGTGTCTGTTTTTATACCAGAACCATGCCGTTTTGATTACTAAAGCTCTGTAGTATAACTTAAAGTCAAATAATGTGATTCCTCCAGTTTTGTTCTTTTTACTTAATAAATCTTTGCTATTCTGGGTCTTTTGTGGTTCCACATAGATTTTAGGACTTTTTTTCCTATTTCTGTGAAAAATGTCATTGGTATTTTGATAAGGATTGAATTGAATCTGTATATTACTTTAGATAGAGTGGACATTTTAACAATATTTATTCTCCTAATCCATGAACGTGAAACATCTTTCCAGTATTTTGTGTCTTCTCCAATTTATTGCATCAGCGTTTTATAGTTTTCATTGTAGAAATCATTCACTTCTGTGGTTAATTCCTTGGTATTTTATTTTATTTGTAGTTATTGTCTGGTCTGGTGTTGATGAAATTCGCCAGCTCTTGTTTTTCTGGAAAGTCTTCAATTCTTCTTCATATTTAACTAATATTTTCCCTGGATATGGTATTCCAGAATAAAAGTATTTTTCCTTCTGCACTGTAAACATGTCATACCATTCTCCTGGTCTGTAAGCTTTCTGTTGAAAAGTCAGTTCCTAGATGTATTTGAGCTTCATGGTATGTTATTTGTTTCTTGTCTCTTGCTGCTTTTAGGATACTTTATTTTGACCTTCGGAAGTTTATTAAATACCTTGAGGTAGTCTTATTTGGGCTAAATCTGATTGGTGTTCTATAACCTTGTACTTGAATAATGATATAGGTTTGGGAAATTCTATGTTATTACACCTTTGAATAAACTTTCTACTCCTATCTCTTTCTCTACCACCTCTTTAAAGCCAATAACTTTTAGAGTAGCCCATTTGAGGCTACTTTCTAGATCCTGTAGGCATGCTTCTTTGTTTCTTATAATTTTTCCTTTTGTCCCCGATATGGTTAGGCTTTGCATCCCCACCAAAATCTCATCTTGAATTGTAATCCCCACATGTCAAGGGAGAGACAAGGTGGAGGTAATTGAATCATGGGGGCAGATTCCCCCATGCTGTTCTCATGATAGTGAGTGAGTTCTCATGAGATCTGATGGTTTTATAAAGGGCTCTTCCCCCTTTGCTTGACTCTTCTCCTTCCTGCCATCTTTGAAGAAGGTGCCTTGCTTCCCCTTCCTCCATGAGGCCTCCCCAGCTATGTTGAACTGTGAGTCAATTAAACCTATTTTCTTTATAAATTACTGAGTCTCAGGCAGCTCTTTATAGCAGTATGAAAATGGAGTAAACTATCTCCTCTGTTTTCAAATAGCCTGTCTTCAAGCTCACTAATTCTTTTTCCTGCTTAATCAATGTGCTATTGGAAAACTCTGATGCATTCGTCAGTAGGTCAATTGCATTTTTCAACTCCAGAATTTCTGCTTGTTTTTATTTCAATCTCTTTGTTAAATTTATTTGACAGAATTCTGAATTCCTTCTCTGTGTTATTCTCAATTTTTTTGAGTTTTTTTCAACACAGCTATTTTGAATTCTCTGTCTGAAAGGTGACATATCTATGTTTCTCCAGAATTGATCTCTGGTGCCTTATTTAGTTCATTTGCTGAGGTAATGTTTTCCTGGATGATGTTGATGCTTGTGGATGGATGTTCATTTGTGTCTGGGCATTAAAGAGTTAGTTATTTTTTGTACTGCTCACTGTCTGAGCTTATTTGCACCCATCCTTTTTGGGAAGGCTTTCCAGGTATTAAAAAAGACTTGGGTGTTGTGATCTAAGCTGTGTTGGCTTTAGGGGGCACCCAAGGCCAGTAATCCTGTGGTTCTTGTAGACTCATAGAGATACCACCTTGATGGTCTTAAGTGATATCTGGAATAAATCACTGGATTACCAGAAAGAGACTCATGTTTTCTTCGCTTACTTTCTCTCAAACAAATGAAGTCTCTCTCTCTCTCTACTCTGAACCAGCTGGAGCTAGGAATGGGGTGACACAAGCACCCCTGTGGCCACAAGCATCAGAGTGCTCTCGATCAGACCTGAAACCAGCACAGGACTGAGCCTGGCTCGTGGCCTGCTATAAACACTACCTGGCTACTTCCAATGTTTTCTCAAGGCCTTGGGGCTCTATAACCAGCAGGTGAGAAAGCCAGCCAGGCCTGTGTCTTTCCCCTCAGGGCACAGACTTCCCACAGGCCCCTGCCAAGTCCAGAGGTGCCATTCAGTAGCCAGGGACTAGAGTAAAATCCTTAGAAGTCTACCTGGTGTTCTATTGTACTGTGGCTTTGCTGGCATTCAAACCACGAGATGCAGTTCTATCCCCTCTTCCCCCCATTTTCCACAGGCAGAGGAGCCTCAATCTGTGACCACTACCACCACGGCCCACAGGGAGTATTCCAGGATACTGAAAGTATTTCCTTAAGGCCAAAGGGCTCTTTAGTTACCTTGCGGTAAATGCTGCCTAGGATAGGACTTACTTTTCAGGGCAGTGGACTCTCGTTTGGCCCAGGATAGATCCAGAAATGCCATCGAAGAGCCAAAGCCTGGACTCAAAGACCCCAAGGACCTGCTTGGTTCTCTAGCCCCCTGTGGCTAAACCAGTGACAAAGTCCCCTTTACTTTTTCCTCTGCTTTTCTCAAGTAGAAAGGGTTTTTCTCCATAGCCCCTATAGCTGGGATGGTGCTGAGTTTTACCTGAAGGTAGCCAGTCTCAGAGTCTCACTGAAGGGCCACAAGATACTACCTGGGTATTTCTCCTAGTTATTCAGGGTCCAAGGGCTCTTTAGTTAGCAAGTGATGAATCCTGCCAGGACTGGGTAATTTCCTTCAAGGCCTCAGGTTTCCTTCTGGCCTAGGGTGTGTCTAGAATTGTCATTTTGGAACTAGGGCCTGGAAAGGGGGCCTCACGGCTTTGACTGATGGCCTATCTTACTGTGACTGAGGTGGTATCCAAGATGTAAGACAGAGTTCTCTTTACTCTCTTCAATCCTCAAGCAGAAGGAAGCAGTCTGTTTTGGAGCCATGAGCTGTGCAGCCTAAGGTTGCGGGGGTGATGTAAGCACTCCCTTGGCCACCCCAGATGATGTCTCAGTATGTCATATGCCCTCCAAGTTCCCTGGTTCTGAGCCCAGTTCAGCACTAGGACCCACCTAGGAGTTGCAGTCTTTGCAGTCTATACTGCCTTACAAGTTTTTATAGGATCCCAGAGCACTTTAGCCTACCATAGCGACATTTGCCAGAACTCAAGTTCCAACAGCTGGCATGTGTTATTCCCTTCTAGCTAGGGCTGATTTATCTGCTTCCTTTGTGGAAAGGTGTTAGCTGAGTTCAGTCCAGTTTTGCTTTCTGCTGTGGCAGGACAGCACTGAGTTCAATACAACGTCTCACAGTTGCTGTGCTATCCTTCTTACAGCACACAGATTCTCTCTTCACACCACATGGCCACTGCCAAGGGACTGGAGAGAGGTAATATCAAGGATTTAAGACTTTCTTTCCTACCTTCTTCAGTGTCTCTTTTATTAATGTGAGGTTAAAACCAGGTATTGTGAGTGCTCACTTGATTTTGGTTCTTATAAAGGTGGTTTGTTTTGTGTAGATGTGAAACTGGTAGAGGCAGGGGAGAAAATTAGTAGAGCCCTTTATTTGGCCATCTTATTCTTCCCCCTCAGTTTCTAGTTTAGATGGCATGCATGGAACTGCTTTTTGGTAATGTATTTGAGCAGAGACTATAACACATATAAGTAGAGATTGTCCTCCCCCCGCAGAAAAAACTTACATTTTATCCCATTGTGGATTTTTATGACTAAAATAATCTTAGTATAGATCAGTATACTTTTAAAAACACTGGTAACTATTCATTGTAGTCAATACCTAGGGAGATATAACAAACAGAGATGATCTGTGTCCTCAGCAAAGCTTAAAATTTACACTGTGAGTCCACATAAACACTTTCAATTAATTTGAACTATGCATTTATTTATTCATCACTTGCATGTATCGAATAAATGCTCTATATATTCTGCAGCACTGGTACTTTAAGTACTGATTGATACCCTTGTTAATATAAAAATAAATTCCTCTGCTTTCATGGAACTTACTTTCTGGTAGAAGAAGGCAAAATAGTCATATAAGGATATTAATGCAATAAAAGTGCAAAGAGCTATGAAGTAAATAAAAAAGCTATGAAGTATATAGTAGAATAAAGAATATAAATCCTTTGGGTATGTACCCAGTAATGGGAATGCTGGGTCAAAGGGTATTTCTGGTTCTAGATCCTTGAGGAATCACGACACTGTCTTCCATAATGGTTGAATTAATTTACACTCCCACTAACAGTGTAAAGGCATTCCTATTTCTCCACAACCTCTCCAGCATCTATTGTTTCCTCACTTTTTAATTATCACCATTCTAACTGGCATGAGATGGTATCTCATTGTGGTTTTGATTTGCATTTCTCTAATGACCAGTGATGATGAGCTTTTTTTTCATATGTTTGTTGGCTGCATAAATGTCTTCTTTTGAGAAGTGTCTGTTCATATCCTTGGTGCACTTTTTGATGGGGTTGTTTTTTTTCTTGTAAATTTGTTTAAGTTCTTTGTAGATTTGAGATATTTGCCCTTGGTCAGATGGATAGATTGCAAAAGTTTTCTCCCATTCTGTAGGTTGCCTGTTCACTCTGACGATAGTTTCATTTGCTGTGCAGAAACTCTTTAGTTTAATTAGATCCCATTTGTCAATTTTGGCTTTTGTTGTCATTGCTTTTGGTGTATTAGTCATGAAGTCTTTGCCCATGCCTATGTCCTGAATGGTATTGCCTAGGTTTTCTTCTAGGGTTTTTATGGTTTTAGGTCTTATGTTTAAGTCTTTAATCCATCTAGAGTTATTTTTTTGTATAAGGTGTAAGGAAGGAATCCAGTTTCAGCTTTCTGCTTATATCTAGTCATTTGTCCCAACACCATTTATTAAATATGGAATCCTTTCCCCATTGCTTGTTCTTGTCAGGTTTGTCAAAGATCGGGTAGTTGTTGATGTGTGGTGTTATTTCTGAGGGCTCTGTTTTGTTCCATTGGTCTGTATACCTGTTTTGGTAGCAGTGCCATGCTGTTTTGGTTACTGTAGCCTTGTAGTATAGTTTGAAGTCAGGTAGCATGATGCCTCCAGCTTTGTTCTTTTTGCATAGGATTGTCTTGGCTATGTGGGTTCTTTTTTGGTTCCATATGAAATTTAAGGTAGTTTTTTTTTTTTTCCAATTCTGTGAAGAAAGTCAGTGGCAGCTTGATGGGGATAGCATTGGATCTATAAATTACTTTGGGCAGTATGGCCATTTTCATGATCTTGATTTTTCCTATCCATGAGCATGGAATGTTTTTCCATTTGTTTGTGTCCTCTCTTATTTCCTTGAGCAGTGGTTTGTAGTTCTCCTTGAAGAGGTCCTTCACATCCCTTGTAAGTTGTGTTCCTAGGTATTTTATTCTCTTTGTAGCAGTTGTAAATGGGAGTTCACTCATGATTTGGCTCTCTGTTTGTCTGTTATTGGTGTATAAGAATGCTTGTGATTTTTGCACATTGATTTTGTGTCCTGAGATTTTGCTGAAGTTGCTTATCAAGCTTAAGGAGATTTTGGGCTGAGATGATGGGGTTTTCTAAATATACAATCGTATCATCTGCAAACAGAGACAATTTAAATTCCTCTTTTCGTAATTGAATACCATTTATTTCTTTTTCTTGCCTGATTGCCCTGGCCAGAACTTCCAATACTATGTTGAATAGGAGTGGAGAGAGAAGGCATCCTTGTCTTGTGCCTGTTTTCAAAAGGAATGCTTCCAGTTTTTGCCCATTCAGTATATTGGCTGTGAGTTTTTCATTAATAGCTCTTATTATTTTGAGATATGTTCCATCGATACGTCGTTTATTGAGAGTTTTCAGCATGAAGTGTTGTTGAATTTTGCTGAAGGCCTTTTCTCCATCTATTGAGATAATCAGGTGGTTTTCGTCATTGGTTCTGTTGAAGTGATGGATTACGTTTATTGATTTGCATATGTTGAACCAGCCTTGCATCCTAGGGATGAAGCTACTTGATCATGGTGGATAAGCTTTTTGATGTGCTGCTGGATTCAGCTTGCCAGTATTTTATTGAGGATTTTCACATCGATGTTCATCAGGGATATTGGCCTGAAATTTTCTTTTTTGTTGTGTCTCTGCCAGGTTTTGGTATCAGGATGATGCTGGCCTCGTAAAATGAGTTAGGGAGGATTCCCTCTTTTTCTATTGTTTGCAATAGTTTCAGAAGGAATGGTACCACCTCCACTTTGTACCTCTGGTAGAATTCGGCTGTGTATCTGTCTGGTCCTGGACTTTTTTTGGTTAGTAGGCTATTAATTACTGCCTCAATTTCAGAACTTGTTATTGGTCTATTCAGGGATTTGACTTCTTCCTGGTTTAGTCTTGGGAGGGTGTATGTGTCCAGGAATTTATCCATTTCTTCTAGATTTTCTAATGTATTTACATAGAGGTGTTTATAGTATTCTCTGATGGTAGTTTGTATTTCTGTGGGATCAGTGGTGATAACACTTTTATCATTTTTTTGTGTTGTATTTGATTGTTCTCTTTTTTCTTATTAGTCTGGCTAGTGGTCTACTTATGTTGTTGATCTTTTCAAAAACCCAGCTCCTGGATTCATTGATTTTTTGAAGGCTTTTTCGTGTCTCTATCTCATTCGGTTCTGCTCTGACTTTAGTTATTTCTTGTCTTCTGCTAGCTTTTGAATTTGTTTGTTCTTGCTTCTCTAGTTCTCTTAATTGTGATGTTAGGGTGTTGATTTTAGATCTTTCCTTCTTTCTCTTGTGGGCATTTAGTGCTATAAATTTTCCTCTACACACTGCTTTAAATGTGTCCCAGATATTCTGGTACATTGTGTCTTTGTTCTCATTGGTCTCAAAGAACATCTGCCTTCATTTCATTATTTACCCAGTAGTCATTCAGGCACAGGTTGTTCAGTTTCCATGTAGTTATGTGGTTTTGAGTGAGTTTCTTAATATCGAGTTCTAATTTGATTGCACTGTGGTCTGAGAGACTGTTTGTTGTGATTTTCGTCCTTTCTCATTTGCTGAAGAGTGTTTTACTTCTAATTATGTGGTCAATTTTAGAATAAGTGCTATGTGGTGCTGAGAAGAATGTATATTCTGTTGATCTGGGGTGTAGAGTTCTGCAGATGTCTATTAAGTCCGCTTGGTCCAGCGCTGAGATCAAGTTCTGGATATCCTTGTTAATTTTCTGTCTCATTGATCTGTCTAATATTGACAGTGGGGTATTAAAGTCTCCCACTATTACAGTGTGGGAGTCTAAGTCCCTTTGTAGGTCTCTAAGAACTTGCTTTATGAATCTGGGTGCTCCTATATTGGGTGCATATACATTTAGGATAGTTAGTTCTTATTGTTGCATTGATCCCTTTACCATTACGTGATGCCCTTCTTTGTCTCTTTTGATCTTTGTTGGTTTAAAGTCTGTTTTGTTAGAGATTAGGATTTCAACTCCTGTTTTTTTGTTTTTTGTTTTTTTGCTTTCCATTTGCTTGGTAAACATTCCTCCATCCCTTTATTTTGAGCCTATGTGTGTCTTTGCACATGAGATGAGTCTCCTGAATACAGCACACTGATGGGTCTCGACTCTTTATCCAATTTGCCAGTCTGTGTCTTTTAATTGGGGCACTTAGCCCATTTACATTTAAGGTTAATATCGTTATGTGTGAATTTGATCTGCCATTATGATGCTAGCTGGTTATTTTGCCCGTTAGTTGATGCAGTTTTTTCATAGTGTCGATGGTCTTTACATTTTGGCATGATTTTGCAGTGGCTGGTACCAGTAGTTCCTTTCCATGTTTAGTGCTTCCTTCAGGAGCTCTTGTAAGGCAGGCCTGGTGGTGACAAAACCTCTCAGCATTTGCTTGTCTGTAAAGGATTTTATTTCTCCTTCGCTTATGAAGCTTAGTTTGGCTGGATATGAAATTCTGGGTAGAAAATTCTTTTCTTTAAGAATGTTGAATATTGGCCCCTACTCTCTTCTGGCTTGTAGGGTTTCTGCAGAGAGATCTGCTGTTAGTCTAATGGGCTTCCCTTTGTGGGTAACTCGACCTTTCTCTCTGGCTGCCCTTAACATGTTTTCCTTCATTTCAACCTTGGTGAATGTAATGATTATGTGTCTTGGAGTTGCTCTTCTCGAGGAGTGTCTTTGTGGTGTTCTCTGTATTTCCTGAATTTGAATGTTGGCCTGTCTTGCTAGGTTGGGGAAGTTCTCCTGGATAATATCCTGAAGAGTGTTTTCCAACTGGGTTCCATTCTCCTCATCACTTTCAGAAACACCAATCAAACCTGGATTTGGTCTTTTCACATAGTACCATATTTCTTGGGGGCTTTGTGCATTTCTTTTCACTCTTTTTTCTCTAATCTTGTCTTTTTGCTTTATTTCATTGAGTTCATCTTCAATCTCTGATATTCTTTCTTCCGCTTGATCGATTTGGCTATTGATACTGGTGTATGCTTCACGAAGTTCTCATGCTGTGTTTTTCAGCTCCATCAGGTCACTTATGTTCTTTTCTAAACTGGTTATTCTAGTTAACAATTCATCTAACCTTTTTTCAAGGTTCTTAGCTTCCTTGAATTGGGTTAGAACATGCTCCTTTAACTTGGAGGAGTTTGTTACTACCTACTTCTGAAGACTACTTCTGTCAATTCATCACTCATTCTCCATCCAGTTTTGTTCCCTTGCTGGCGAGGAGTTGTGATCCTTCGCAGGAGAAGAGGTTTTCTAGTTTTTAGAACTTTCAGCCTTTTTGTGCTGGTTTCTCCCCATCTTCATGAATTTATCTACCTTTGGTCTTTGATGTTGGTAACCTTCAGATGGCGTCTCTGAGTGGATGCCCTTTTTGTTGATGTTGATACACTCCCTTTCTGTTTGTTAGTTTTCCTTCTAACAGTCAGGCCCCTCTGCTGCAGGTCTGTTGGAGCTTGTTGGAGGTCCACTCCAGACCCTGTTTGCCTGGGTATTACCAGCGGAGGCTGAAGAACAGCAAAGACTGCTGCCTGTTCCTTCCTCTGGAAACTTTGTCCCAGAGGGACACCCACCAGATGGCAGCTGGAGCTCTCCTGTATGAGGTGTCTGTCAGCCCCTACGGGGAGGTGTCTCCCAGTCAGAATGCACTGGGGTCAGGGACCCACCTGAGGAGGCAGTGTGTCCCTTATCATAGCTTGAAGGATGTGCTGGGAGATCTGCTGTTCTCTTCAGAGCTGTCAGGCAGAGACGTTTAAGTCTGCTGAAGCTGCTCCCACAGCCACCCCTTCACCCAAGTGTCTGTCCCAAGGACTTATAGATGCCTTTTTTTTCAGAGATGTCCAAAGAGGAGGAATCTAGAGAATGCCATTGTCTTAAATAGCATTTTCAGGGTTGACATTGTGCAGTAGCTGAAATTTAGGCAAAAGCTTAAAGGAGGTAAGGGAATTGGTCCTAAGCTATTTAGTGGAAGAATGTTCCAGACAGAGAAACATGTGCAAAGTCCCTAGGTAAAAGCCGCCTGGCATGTTCCAAGAACGAGGAAGAGATTGGCATAGCTGGAGGGGAGTGAGTGAGGGCCAGGGAAGTGGAACACGCAGGTGAAGAGGCAGCTGAGTAGCAGATCACCATGGAGGAAAGAGGGGCCCACTGCAGGGCTGTGAGGAGTGATGTGATCTGACCGATTATTTTACAGTGCCCTTCTAGCTGCCCTGTAGAAGGTCGAAGGAAGAACTGGGAAGGACCATTGTGGGCTGTTGGAACAATCCTGGCAAGAGACAATGGTGGCTCTGGCTGGCATGGGAGGGTGTGGGAGGGGCTTACCTGATGCTCTGTGATGGTTTGTGTCTCTCTCATGAGGGTGTGTGCATTTCCTCAACACCTGGCAGCAGCGGAATGTTGGATCTATTTAAGATAAATATTAACAGCCTGATTATTATAGGTGTTATTATTCCAACAATAACCAGTACCCTAATTCTCTTATTCCAGCTCAGTGTCCAACAATTCTGTCCAGTTCTGACACTAGCCGGAGTTAGCGCTGACCCCAGGGGTTAAGGGCTCAGTTCCCCAAGACCACCTCCACTTCATATGCAGGCCAGAAATGGGGTCCTCAGGCTATTTACACTTCTGCCTAGCTCACTAAAAATGTGAGGGTTGGTAGTTTGTTTCAAACTATGACTCCATCACTCCTGTCCCCAGGTTTGAGAATTTTCTAGAATGGCTCATTCCTCAGGAAAGCGCTTTACTTACAGTCACAGTTTATCTTAAAGGATACAGTTTAAGAGCAGCCAAATGGAAGAGATGTACAGGGTAAGGGGTGGGGTGGGGATGGAGGTTCCCTGTCTTCTCTGGGGGCACTAGCACCTCAATGTATTCACCATCCTGGAAGCTCAGCCTCGCTGTTTCAGGAGTTTTACTGAAGTTTCATTACATAGGCATGATTGATGGCAATTGGTGGTGATTGGACTCAATCTCCAGCCCTTGTCCCCTCCCTGCAGATCAGGGGGTAGGGCTGAGAGTTCAGCCCTCTATTCATGTGGTCGGTTGCCCTGGCCACCAGCACCCATCTAGAAGCTATGTAAGGGCCATCTAGAGTCACCTCTTAGCATTAACTCAGGTAAGATCAAAAGGGGCTGTTTATGAATAATGGAAGAAACTCCTATCACTCAGGAAATTCCAAGAATTTCAGGTGCCTTTTTGCCAGGAATCAAGGGCAAAGACCAAATAGATAAACATTTTGACCCTAACTTTTGAGACAGGGTCATGTCAGAGCTCAAGCGATCCTCCTGCTTCAGCCTCCCAAGTAGCTGGGACTAAGGTGCATGCACTCATACCCGGGTAATTTTTTTTTTCATTTTTTGTAGAGATGGGGTCTCCCTTTGTTGTCCAGCCTGGTCTTAAATTCCTGGCATCAAGGGTTCCTCCAGCATCAGCTTCCCAAACTGTTACAATTACAGGTGTGAGCCACTGCATCTGGCCCAAATATATATTTTTGATGATAACACAATGGGAGTATCAAAAATTCAGATGGGAGAGCAGAGTCCATTGTTCAGAAGAACAGCAGATCAGTGAAGTCCAAGTGTCTGAAAACCAACCCAGGCAGGGAAGAGTAGGTGGGCAGTTGGAGGGCCAAGAAAACTAACAGCCTGATGTGGCTGATGAAGGACGGAAGTGGATGTGGGCTTTCAGCCATGAGCAGTTGGCAATAACTTAGAAGTAGAGCCTGGGTGCGGAGAAGGAGCAAGTAGATTTGCAATTTTTCAACCTCTCCTAGGTTTCAGGAGTTCATGAGTGTAAATAAGTTCATGAATGTCCAGGCATATTCACATGCATAGCTCCATGTCTCCAAATCTTCACTTGCTTGACAAGATCTTAATCCCATGTTTCTCTTGTCTCCTTAAATTCCTCCTCAGCTATTTCTGGGTGTCCTTGGAATGGTGATGTCTCAACATGGGCTTGGGAACACGTTTGCTCCTCTTCTTTCCACTTGAGTCCAGGGGCCTTGCCATGGCCTCTGCACTTGGTGCTCTTTGAAAGACATGATTCCTGTGCACCCAACAGACCCCTGTGAAACAGGAATAAAAATGTCTCATAGGATGTCAGTGAAGATTCAATAAGATAGTGTTTATAAAGCACTGAGATTAAATAAGAATGTTTGATTCCTACTAAAAGCTCAATTAATGGCTGGGGTTATTATTATTACTGTTCTTATTGTTAGGCATGGTTTTGAATTCCTCACCATCCTAATTGCCACTTAAAATGAACAACTGTCTTTGTGGATACAATTTCAGAGGCAGCATGGGGACTAACTTTTCCAGAACATGAACCTAGTGCCTCCTACAGTGGTAGAAATTAAAATCCTGTGTGAAAACACAAATATGCTTGGGAGAGTTACTGATTGCCAAGAAAGCTCTTTAGTTTCCTTTCTGTGTGAAGAAGCAAGCAGGGCTCAAGGGGCCCTACCAAGGCCATGGAGAATGGTAAGTGCTGCTCACAGCCACCCAGTCTGCGTTCTCCTTTCTAAAGGAGGTCTAAAGAGGTGGGAGTGAATCAGTTTAGTTTGCAAACACACACACACACACACACACACACACACACACATATGAAAATATGCAAGACGGAATCCCAGGGCCACTTTGGGGTGAGACCTTCCCCATGAGCAGGAAGGATGTTGAGGAACTGGAGCAGAGCCCAGGCGGGAAGAAGAACCAACAAGGTCACGTGGCAGCTTGATCTGGCTGGGAACTGAGCTCTGCAGTGTGCTTGGGAATATAAACAATGGGGACAGAAAAGAAAAAAAAAAGATTTCATTAGAAATGTAAAATCAACCAGGAGGGCAGCTCTGTCCTGCTGGGGCATAAAGCCATGGTGGAGGCCCAGGAAAGTTCTGTTGATGGAAAACAGTATCTGGGCATTTGGCAGCAACAGATGACTTAGATATGTTCCCTTGATTTCAGTACTCTCACTTTTATATTGAAATTATGCTATTTGATTTCTCAGCACCTGGTAGAGTGCCTGCACAAGGACTGTGCAGTTAGCATTTGCTGAACTTCACAGAATTGGGGATGGGGTGGAGAAAAGAGCAGAGCCCATCACGAGAGGGAGGTAAAGTTGAGATAAAGAAGTTTGAGATGCTCTAGACACCCTTTGCGTACTTCACCTTTTTTTCTGGCATTAGCCTTGAGCATTAAGATGCAAAGTAAAAGCGAAGGAAAAGGAAGAGGCCTGGAGTGAGGATAGTGCATGGAGCTCATCCTCATGAAATTCTTCTCTGGTTGCTGTTCCCATGAGGTTATGCGATGCCTGAGCCCAGGAACTGTGCTCCTGGGTCCTGATACCAGTGCCCAGCCCATAGCGGGGGATCCCCATTTTATGATAAGAATAAATGAGCACCTCCCAGATCGGTGACTTGCTCCACCCCACAATAACCCCGGGAGGAGGGTGTGGTCAGTCCAGCTGTACAGGTGAGAAAGTGAGCTGGGAGCTGTGACTTATCCACACCCTCTCAGCAGCAGTTGTGACAGCTGGGGTCACACAGTTGATTCACTGCCATAGGGGAAAAGTGGAGGAGGGAGAGGGGCAGAGAGCGAAGAACAACTCAGGAAAATGAAGGAAAAGCAGAGGCAGAGAGCGAAGAACAACTCAGGAAAATGAAGGAAAAGCAGAGGAGAAATTAACTGACTGGAAAAATGACAATAGTTGGAAGACAGACGAAAAAGGGACGAGTGCATCAGAGTGTATTTTGGCACTTATTACTCTATCTCCTTTTTATACTACTTCGCTTTTTCAACTTAATAGTTAAGGCACGTCGGTCTAGTCTTCCCCGAAGGGAGCTTGCCAGGCTCTGCGACAGGCTTGGAAGTTGGAGCCCGGGCCCTGGGTTCTCTCAGCTTCCAGCTCAGGAGGCGGAGTGGGAGGAGCGGGCCTGGCGGCCGTGGGGGCGGGGCTGCTCCACTAACGGTTACTGGTCGCTGCTGCCGCCGCGCTCCTCCCCCGGCTGCGGCAGAGGCGCGCGCCTGCGTCCTGAGGATCCCGCCCTTGGGCCGCCGGGAACCTCGCAGAGCGGCGGGGTGGCCCTGGCGAGGCGCGGTTGTTGGGGGTTCGCTCGAGCCTCACGACGCCCGCGACTGGGGACTCGGAACCTGGGCCAGGCTGGGACGAGGCCGCGCGGGAGGGCGCGCTGGGCGGACGCTGGGGCCGCGGAGCCCAACCGCCCTTGTCCTGGACGCCCCTTGGCGGTCCGCACTGGCGGGTGCCCTCTCCCGAGGGGAACTGAGGCGGGGCGCCTGCCACCATTCGTGATTTTCCGTGACTCACCCTCTCAACAGTGTCCCGTCAGCCCCCGCTTTCTGGAATTAAGATGATTTTCCATGGGCATTATAGTCAGAGGAGGTTTTCTGTGAGACATCTGGGAAAGGTGACTCAATGATCACTCATATTGTTCTATGATGTTATACATTTAACCGGAATACTGGTGAACAGCTTTTATATCTTGGAATTTTTTCCCATTTTTGAATCAGAAATTTAGGACCAAGAATCTTCTGTCACAGAACCTATTACTTTGAGGAGTGAACTTATATTAACGGTGCTAAACCGTACATGAACGACTTGGTAGATGAAAACTTTGGAAAATAGGAACATTTCATGTCATCACATGTATCCTCCAGCATTGGGGAAAATTCAACAGTTGCCTTAAGGCGGGAGTTTAATTGAGGACATTTACTAAAAAGTTACTTATTCTGTTTGAAATTCTCTTCTGATAAACATCTTCCCGGGATAACGAACATCTCCAGGATGTGAGAGCCGAGCGCGTGTCCGCGGAGTGCTTGAGCAACGCAGAATGGCTTCGGTGCTGCGTTCCTTAGACCCCGTGCGGACCCTGCTGAGCCCTCAGCATCTGTGAGTGAGTCCCTCCGCGTCACCTTGGCCTCCCGTGTAGCTAGATCAGTCTTCCGACCCCTTGTTCTACTTGCACAGATTTCTGATTAACCTCTTCTGCTCCTCCAGAGATGAGTCAGGGCTCCGTATCAGCTCCCCAAGGCATTTGCTGGCTTCTGACATTTACTTGGAGGACTTTGGGCTGCGAAAGGGCAAAGTTTGCCGTTCTCATCTCTTTTTTTGGTGCCTGCCCCCGGGTCTTGACCTTTCTCTGGAGTCTTCTCTCCTGGTTCTTTACCCACCTCTTTGGTTTCTCCTGTGGTTCTTTGTCAAGGTGTCCCCTAGATGTCACACTCTGAGGCTCAGTTGTGGCTGAGTCTTGCATTGCAAGTGTTTTTGCAGGTGTCTCTGCGAAGCGTGGATATGGGATGGTGAAAGTGGCAGTGTGCACAGAGTGTTTGGGATTAGATGGGCAGGTGGAAGGGCGTCTAGGTAGGACCCCTTTGTCCTGGTGTGAGGTAATGAGGTTCTAGAGTGTGCTGTCAAGGTGAAACTAAAAGGAAAGGATAGACAGGAGACTTTGTGAAAGACGAAATTATGGTAGTTTGGTAACAAATGGATGCAGGGACTGGTGGGTGGGTGTAGAAGAAGGCAGAAAATCTTGCCAAGGACATTGCAAGTCCTGAATCAGACCAGGAAAATTAAGGTTCAATTAACAGAAATAAGTCCAGAGGGGGAGCTAATTTTGGAGGAAGTGTGGTGATAAATTTGCTTTTCTATGTGGTCCAGCTGGTGGAGAGACATCAAGAAGCACTTAGAGAAATACAGGAAATAGAGAGGTGGGTGACCTAAGTCCTACTTCCTATCCTGTCTATGTATATATAACAAAGGCCAAATGAATTCATGTGTTGAGGTCTGCTTTCCTATTTCTAATAGCAATGGCATAAAATGAATTCTAGCCAATTCTAAAGTCACTAGTAGATAGTAATATTCACGAAGTAGCCACAAATCCAGGGCTCTAACTCAAGGGAGAGAGATCGGGACTGGAGATAGAATTTTCACAAGTAACTGATGCATGGCACTTTTCTGTATTTTGGTAAATGTATTGAGAAGATGATTGCAGTTAAGTAGCTAACTGTTCCAGATACTATCCGAGGCATGAATGATTTGTCCTGGAGTAGGTGTGCTGTGTCACTGTAGCATATCTACTACAACAGACATGATATGTTTCCATACATTATCTCATTTAACACTCAGAAGAACTTCAGGAGTAGTTATTACTAGTCCATTTTGCAGAAGCTTACAGATAAGATTCAGAGATGAAGCATCAGGTCTATCTGATTTAAACCCAGGTCTATCTGATTTCAAAGTCGATGGACTTTTTGTTATTTCATACCATAATCTGTCAGGGTGTGAGTGGGGGATAAAAGAAAGTTAAACAAAACTCTTGGAAACAGAGAGGAAGGGCTTAAACCATTAAAATTAACTTCAGAAGTCAAGAATGAAGCTCGGGCAGAAAACAAGTAGAGGGCACAGTTCTGTCCCGATTTACAGAGGATGGGTTTGCGACCTTTCTGATGCATTAACTTAGTAATGCTAAGGTGTGCCATCCAAAACGATCACCTGTATATAAGCCACTCTTTCACAGAGGTGGGTTTTTCTTTTCTTTTTTAATTCCCATGCTGCTCAAAACCTTTTAGATTTGAATTATTGGGAAGAATATCTCAGGGTAGGCAGGAAGCCAAAGGGGTTGAGAGCTGCTTGTCACTTGCTGGTTTTGCTTGGTATGGGCTCGGTCAGCAGTAGGGACTTCCTTAGTCCTCAGTCTTTCTAGGTTAACTACCACCCTCTTGGTCCTTGTTTCTGTTTTGCTTTTCCTGGCTTGGACATGGAATTTGTAAGTGCCACACATTATTTCCTGTCCCATGACCATACTTAAGCTATAAATTATAGTTTTGTTTCTTCCTGATCCTTTTCCTTCAACACCAAATGTGTTTGTGCCTCAAACCAGGAAGTTGGAAATGTTATTTAACTTTCCTGCATTTTAATTGGTCACAAATCTCTCCCCTTACACACACGCCCCCAACTTTTGAGGAGTCTTGAGAATCTCCTTAACGTCCTTGACAGTTGATCAATGAAAGACATGTAGGGAGATCCAGATTGCAATGAATATTGTATTATTTGCTTAAGAATTTGAAGAGTTATTGCTTCGTAGTAAATGAAGATGAGCATATTGAGGTTTATAAGGGAGGCTGAGGTTCACTTGGCCAGAGATTCAGATGTTCACTTTATTTTATAATCATCCTTTTTAAAAAACAAAATAGACTGACATGGGCAACTTTCTCAAGATTTCATATGGCACATTGCATGTAGGGATAAACAGTACCAACATTATTTGCTTGGAGTGCTTTAGGATCGAGGAATGGGGAAGCCTAAGCAAAACCCCCAAATCTTGGCAAGCTCAGGAGGAGGGAGCAGATAGCACTGCTGGGGTGATCTGTGCTGCTTGAATGCTCTTTTGGAGAATCACTTCCCTGTAGATAGGCCACAGATTACAGTTTACCAAAAGCATTGACTGTCAGACCCACATAGCTGGTTTCCATTAACATGGTTTTGCTCTAGGTCTTTTTCAAGTCCTCTTTTTTTGTTTGTTTGTTTTTTCTTTTTTCTTTTTTTTTGAGACGGAGTTTCGCTCTTGTTGCTCAGGCTGGAGTGCAATGGCGTGATCTCGGCTCACTGCAACCTCTGCCTTCAGGGTTCAAGCGATTCTCCTGCCTCAGCCTCCCGAGTACCTGGGATTACAGGCGCCTGCCAGCACGCCTGGCTAATTTTGTATTTTTAGTAGAGATGGGATTTCACCACGTTGGCCAGGCTGGTCTTGAACTCCTGACCACAGGTCATCCACCTGCCTCGGCCTCCCAAAGTGCTGGGATTACAGGCATGAACCACCATGCCCGGCCTCAAGTCCTCTTTTAAACGTGGAAACTTCTTCCTGCATTACACAGTTCTTTTCTCACCCTCTTCCTGCCTCCCTTCCTTTCACTATACCTTAGCTATACTGAATTGGACATATAATTCTTAGCTCATGCATGGCTTTCTTTTAATAATTAGCTAAACAATAGCATGGTCATATATGATGATATCACCCAACCAGAGAATAACAACATTGTCCGTATTTACCTCTGTACATTTTCTCTGCAGCCTGTATGCCTGTCTCTCTTACCTCTTTGTGCTGATTGTTCTGTTGCCTTTTTTGTAGTTTTCATAGTTTCGTCAGTGTGCATGTATTTATACATTTATGTATGTATGTATATGTGTTGTTTGTGTATATATGTTCACATGTATGTGTAGCCTAAATATAGCACCTAAACAATATTCTATTTACTTTTAGTCATTTATGAACTTCATAAGAAGCTTATTATTCTGTATAGAGCAACTTGGAGCTAGCTTATTTCACTCAGTAGTATGTTATTAATATCCAACTGTGTGTACAGTTTAATTTGTTTTTCCTTGCTGCCTATTATTCCACTTGATTATGTCACATAATTTGGGTCGTTTGTAAATTTTTGTTGTGAGCAACAGTCCTCATATGAATCTTCTTATACATGTTTGTGAAGCACCGGTGCAAGGCATCAACTAGTTCTAAGAGGCTTGCTTTAAAATTTAGTGGGAATATGTACATGAAAATGAGAACTGGCCAGGAGCGGTGGCTTATGCCTGTAATCCCAGCACTTTGGGAGGCCAAGGCAGGTGGATCATGAGGTCAGGAGATCAAGACAATCCTGGCCAACATGGTGAAACCCTGTCTCTACTAAAAATACAAAAATTAGCTGGGCGTGGTAGCAGACACCTGTAATCCCAGCTACTTGGGAGGCTGAGGCAGGAGAATTGCTTGAACCCAGGAAATGGAGGTTGCAGTGAGCCGAGATTGCGCCACTGCACTCCAGCCTGGCGATAGAGCAAGACTCCGTCTCAAAAAAAAAAAAAAAAAAAAGAACTGTAGCAGCATGCTCAGATGTGTGATTCAGAAGTGAAGCTAGAATGAAGATGATGTAGAGAAAGCCAGGAGGCCAGATGGGAGATTGTTATAAAGCCAGGAGATGTTGAGAGTTAGTATGATTGGAAATGGAGAAGAGCAAGTTAGATTTGAGGGAGATTGGAGGATGGACATGCTGGGGCCTAGAGGTTAATGGCACATGTGACTGAGAGAGAGACAGACAGACATTTTCCCCATGCTTTCCAGCTGAAGTGCCTAGGTAGATGGTGATACTATTAAATGAGGTACAGAATAGAGATGAGAGATAAGTATTGGAAGGGAGCCAGCCTTGGAGGGGATTAGTGTGAGTTGGGTGGTAGTTGGAAATGTAGAATTTTTGGAATGGTGAAGGATGTCCTTTACACCCTGTCAAGGAAGTGTAGGTTAGAAACGTGGTCCTTCAGGTGAGATTTTGAGTCATGTTCTGCAGACTGTTGACCTGTAAGAGGTCAGCCCATAGGAACACACAGGAATGGACACTGATGGGGAGAAGGCTGATCTGGCTTATTGACCATAGTTTTCAAAAAAGGCACTCGATTGCCTGCTCCTGTGCATCACAGTGACACCTGTGGTACCCTGCCTTTATGTGAAACGGAAAAATCTCCAAAGGAAAGCAGACATCAAGGTCTTTTTCTGGAAAGTCATTTCAGGGAAGTTATAGACCAAAGCAGCTCAGAGATGGGAAGCCTCATTTGTCCCTTTCTTCCACATTACTCCCCTTTTTAAATAGCCACCTCTGTGGCAGTGTATTCCAAAGTATACATCTAGTAATGCCTTCCTACAGGATGATCTTTGAAAATAAATTTAAAAAAAAGCTGCTAAAATGTGGGAAATACTATTTAGTATAATCCTTTCCAAGAAAGTTGCTATACATATTAATATGTTAAATGTCCTAAAAACTAAATTATTCCACCACTTTTTTTGTTCTCTAATATCTGTAGAGGTCTCAGAGAAAGCTGTTATGAGTGATATACTTTAGAAATGGAAAGAATGGTTTGTTTATGTTAATTATCCTGATTCATCATTAAAATTTAAATTATGTTAAAAATGTGTATTTTTATCTATTTGTAATTATTTAAGAAAAAATCTTTGATCTTTCCATTAAAAATATTTTTGGACGGGCTGGGCGCGGTGGCTCACGCCTGTAATCCCAGCACTTTGGGAGGCTGAGGTGGGCGGATCACGAAGTCAGGAGATGGAGACCATCCTGGCTAACAGGGTGAAACCCCGTCTCTACTAAAAATACAAAAAATAGCCAGGCGTGGTGGTGGGCGCCTGTAGTCCCAGCTACTCAGGAGGCTGAGACAGGAGAATGGCGTGAACCCGGGAGGCGGAGCTTGCAGTGAGCCGAGATCGTGCCACTGCACTCCAGCCTGGGTGACAGAGCGAGACTCCGTCTCAAAAAAAAAAAAAAAAAAAAAAAGATTTGGACTGAATTTCTGTTCTCTGGAATATTTGCTTCTCCTGAGCAAGTTTCTTCTCAGTAAGAACAGTTAATAAACATTACTTCATGAGTGAAAAGAATTTTGAGGTAAAGTTTTGAATTGACAGTATTACGGACAATATTATTTTTTATACATTTTCCTTTCTTTTTCTTTCAGTTATCTGGATTAGAGATCTGATTTTCAAAAGTTGTCATGTTTTTGTAAACCTTCAACCAAAAGGCTTAAAAGGAGAAGGTATAATTTTAACTTTACCAGGAGTATATGCTGTATTTACTTGCATAAAGACAGAAAACAGCCCTGGTTTCTCTGTGTCACTTGTTGTCATTTATAAGCTTTGGCTGGAGGGGAGCAATGTCAAGGTGCATGGCAGCTGGTGTTAGAGCTGCTGTTCAGTGAGCTATCCCAGAATGCAGGGATGTATTTAGTTTGTCATGACTGGGTCAGGTGGAGCAGGCATGCTTCTCAGAACTTGATGAAAGTTTGGAATACCCAGAAACTGAGCTCACCATCTGCCAGAGATATGTCTACCTTATCTCTGAGTTTTATGCCCCTTCAACATCTCTAAAACTCTTTGATATCAGAGAGGCCAATGGAATCAATATGTAATTCCTCACTGTTATTTATGGACTACTGAGGACAGCCACAAGCTTTTCTAGGATCCTGGTGCTCTGCTTAAAAATAAAAAAAAATTAATATGATTTAAAATAAAGGCAACAACAACAGTGGCCTTTGGGCCCTCCCATAAGTACAGATAACAAGTAGTTGGGTAGAGTGACCATAATAAATACCCATCTCACTAAGCCTTAGTATTCATCTTGCTATACTTTGACACAGAAGTTCTAGCATCTCATACTCATTTACTATAGGCCTCCTTTAAGTCCGGATTTCAATTAGTCAACATAGAAGACTATGAATGCTCTTTTCAGACACTTAAACCAACATATTAAGTTATAAATCCTTCAGGAGTATACCCATGGTAATGAATATTACCATATTTAGTCTTATATTACATCTTCTTTTGTCTAAAAGCCATAGAATGTACATCCATAGTTGTTCCTCGGACTTATGCCAAGAAAAATGTCAAGACCTACAGCTCTCTTAGTACATGAGCCATATTCCTCAGTGCATGTTCTCTACTTCTCCTTCTCTGCGAAGCTGGATCTCAATCTCCTATGCTTTAGAGGAAGTGAAAGATGCTGGCAAACATGGGAATAACTTACCCAGTTGAAGCAAACGAAAAGACTTACGTATAGAGTTGCTGATTGTCTCAAATCAGGGTGGGGGGTATGAAATTCTTACACCCAAAAGTAATGTTCAGTGTTTTCAGTTTCAAAGTTGCCACTCTTGTCTTTGTTTATATAACTGTCTGCAACCCATTTCTCAGGATCACACTCCTCCCAATCCATGTCTTTCCTGTAGCACAAGAGAACTTGGATGGTCACATATTCAATTGGTAATGTAACTCTGTATCCTTCCAAATTAATCTAGGCTTATCAGTCTAAAGTTATTATAAAGTTATAAAGGCGAGCAAACCAATTCAAGGACCCACTTTGATGTGTTTTGTGAGGTTCTTAGGGTCTCTATTGGAGAATTAATTGGGAGCTGGTAGAAAACAGATGGCCTGCGCAAAGGAGTTGAGAAGAGATTTTAATGAAAGAACATGGTTATTTACACATGGTTATTAAGGTTAAGAGATCCAACAAGCAATAATGTCACATAATAGAATTAACAAGATGAAATCTGAATGGGTAAGAAGAAAGAGTGGTTTTATTGACTGACAATGGTAGCTGTGAACTTAGGCAAAGGAAGAGGGCAATTGCCAGACCATAGGCTGGCAGGAAGAAGTAGAGTTAAATATTCTGACCTCTCCTTCCACCCTCCAATATTCTGATGATATACGAAAAACAGCAACAACAAGACAACTTTGTGGTGGGGGAACA
Organism: Homo sapiens; assembly: GCF_000001405.40. NCBI lineage: Eukaryota > Metazoa > Chordata > Mammalia > Primates > Hominidae > Homo > Homo sapiens. The sequence continues at coordinate 247,647,830 of NC_000001.11, forward strand.
AAGAAAAAGCATCGGTTATTACCCAACAACTTTAACTCAAAATGTGATTGCTTTATTCTGATAGATACAGTTCCCAGAGTTACTCTCTTGAGGTAGTCTAGTTTCTCTCATTTGACACTCACTTGGCCTCCCAGTGAGAGTTCTTAAAAATTATAATAGGGGTAGGTGAAAGCCACAGGGGCTGAGCAATGGTTTAAATAGTCTCTCACAAAATACAAAAGACCGGGGAAGAGGGATTTGAAAGCAGCTTTGTTTTCTTTACTTGGCAACTTCCTGGAGCTTGGATCCCTGCCAGTTAAACCTCTGCTCTGGGTGTGCCAGGGGACTTGTTAGAGTGCTACAATATACCAGTTAAAAAGTTTTAATTAAATAGAGGAAACGACAAGCAATGGCACCTGCAGTTGGGATCCCAGGAGGAGAAGAACTTGTTATAATATCCTTTGGGTTTCTAACTTAGCTCTCCCTGGCATTCTGGACAGTAATGAAGCCCCAAGTTCATTCAAAGGCATCTTGGCAACAGTGAAATCAGACAAATTTTGACAAAAAGTTTAAGGTTTCACCTGGGACCAGATGCAATTCTCATACAAAGTGCTGGACTATCTGCTTATTATTAAACACACTGTGTCTGTATTTGTGAATAGGAAGACAATAGTGTGTTCCATTAATTTGAGGTAGAACAGCAAAATGAGTCCCTCTTGATAGCTTTGGGCTCATTTAACAACCATGCTTATGTTCCATGACGTTTATCCACATATGATTATTATTCACTGGAATAAACTGATCCTTCCGAGAATAGTCCTAGTTCCCTCATATAAGTACCAATTTCAGTATTTGGAAAACAATCCAGATTCATAACTGGAATCTTTCTTTTAGTATTGTGACTGTGTCTCAGCAGTTATAATAAAATTGTCACTGTACTAAAAATACCATTAATAATAAAGTGTGGAAAGACATATTCAGCTCTCTTCAAAAGTAGCTATTTGGTTATTTAAAGTTAGCTCATACGTTTTATGTATTTATAAAGCTCAAGATCTTGGGCTAGATTCTTAACAAAAAAGTTTTCAATTTGTTGAAAGGTTCAGTCAAGTCAGTGAAAAACAAAAATCCTAGGATAGATTGAATTGACTTATTTTAATCTACCAAATTATTTTTATCAGTTAAAGTGTTTTAATTTCTGCCCTCGTGTAGAGAAAAGTATTGATTAAACAAGAAAACTTCTTGAGTAACACAAACTCCATTGGTTTTGTTGATGCAGAAAGCAAAACTGTAAAATATTTGAAGAGGTTTATTTTGAGCCCATTGTGAATGACCATGGCCCATGACACAGTCTCAGGAGGTCCTGAGAACACGTGCCCAGGTAGCTGGGTTATAGCTCGCTTTTACACATTTTAGGGAGACAGGTGCCCAGGTAGCTGGGTTACAGCTCGCTTTTACACATTTTAGGGAGACAGATGCCCAGGTAGCTGGGTTACAGCTCGCTTTTACACATTTTAGGGAGACAGGTGCCCAGGTAGCTGGGTTACAGCTCGCTTTTACACATTTTAGGGAGACAGGTGCCCAGGTAGCTGGGTTACAGCTCGCTTTTACACATTTTAGGGAGACAGGTGCCCAGGTAGCTGGGTTACAGCTCGCTTTTACACATTTTAGGGAGACAGGTGCCCAGGTAGCTGGGTTACAGCTCGCTTTTATACATTTTAGGGAGACAGGTGCCCAGGTAGCTGGGTTACAGCTCGCTTTTACACTTTTTAGGGAGACAGGTGCCCAGGTAGCTGGGTTACAGCTCACTTTTACACATTTTAGGGAGACAGGTGCCCAGGTAGCTGGGTTACACCTCCCTTTTATACATTTTAGGGAGACAGCTTCCCAAGGTATCTGGGTTACAGCTCACTTTTACACATTTTAGGGAGACAGGTTCCCAAGGTAGCTGGGTTACAGCTTGCTTCTGTACACTTTAGGGAGACAGAAGTTACAGGCAGACATAAATCAATACATGTAAAGTGTACACTGGTTCGGCCCTGAAAGGTGAGACATCTAGAAGGTAGGGTGTGAGAGAGGGCTTTTCAGGTCCTGGGTGAATTCAAAGATTTCCAAAGATTGGCAATGGGTTGAAAAAGTTAAGTTTTGCCTGAGAAGAGTTGAAGTCAGCATAAAGAAATGCTTGAGTCAAGATGAGGGGGGTAGTGGAAGCCAAGGTTCTTGTTATGTCCGTGAAGCCTGTAAGTAACAGGCTTCAGAGAGAATGGATGGTAAATGTATCTTATCAGATCTTAAAAAAATCTGGGAAAGACCTGGTAAGTGAAGGAGATTCCCTACAGAATACAAATTCCTCTTACGAGAGAGGGCTTTGCAGGGACATTTCAAAATATGTCAAAGAGAATATATTTTGGGACAAAATACTTTGATTTCCTTCAAGGCCTGCTCTCTATCATGTGATCCCATACCAGAGTCAGGTCGGAGTTGGGTATCTCACTGCTACAAAGAATCTGTTTTGTCAGCCTTATGATCTCTAGTTTAGTGTTAATGCTGGTCCCTTGTGCCTAAACTCCACAGGGATGAGGGTATGTGTGACCCGCCTTTTCCATTATGGCCTGAGCTATTTCTTCAGGTTTCTTGGGATCCCCTTGGTTAAGAGGAGGATCCATTCAGTCACTTGGGGCACTCAGAATTTTATTTGTGCGTTACATTATCTCTCTTTCTTGCTGGCTTACATTATATTTCTTTCCTGCTACTTCAATGAGTATGCTCCTAACCTCAGTTACTTTTTATCATTTTCTACTCAATGTCCCACCTTCCCGACTGCTTAAAGATGTCTTTTGGATTGAAATATATCTTGGGCCTCCCACAATCTTCTCACCTCATTTTTTTCATTGTGCCAATTTAAAAGACTATTTCATTCCCACACATGTTTAACTTATTGTTGTTGTTATTATATCATATATAACAGATGCTAATACTAATTTAAATATTTAGGTTTTAGGGGATGGATACTGAAGGGGAATTTTTATCAAAGATTATAAAATTTCAGTGAGACAGGAAAAATAAGCTTTAATGATCTATTGCACTGAATGATGACTATAATAAATAATTATGCATTATATATTTAAAAATTGCTAAAGAAAATAGATTTTAAACGTTTCCAACACAAAATAGAAGTGTATGAGGTGATAGATTTGTTAATTACCATGATTTAATCATTCCACAATGTAAACATGTATTAAAATATCACATTGTGCTCCATCAATATACACAATTCTTATTTTTCAATTAAAAATATAATAAAATAAATTAACTGCAGACAGTAGTTTGACTCCTGTGTATTAAGCCCCTTTTACATAGGCCAGAAGCCCACCACCTACTCTAGCTTCACACCAAGTGTCCTGCTTTAGTCTTCTGTCTCTCACATGGCCCCTTTATTCACCTTTATATATGGGAATGTGCCTGCCTCTAGTGAAAGAGCCAGCAAATTTATAGTTCACCTCTACCTACTTTGTCATATTTTACCTGTTCCAGGTCTGCAGAGAGAGGAGTTTTTTGTCATAGTAAACCTTTGTATTAATACCTAAATACACATAGATTTTAGAAGAACATTATTTTTCTTAGGTAGGTGTCCATAGACGGAGCTGAGATTCCTGTGCAATTGACCTCAATTTATAACTTCAGTTTTCCTGTGACACCTACAGCGATGTGTCCTTATGATCTTTTTGCTTGTTTTGGACCCCACAAGTGAGGTCTTAAATTTATTATCGTAAAGTAATATTTTATTGCTCTTTTAGATAGCTATCTGTGGATTTGATATTGTTTGGACCTGGGTCCCCACCCAAATTTCATTTCAAATTGTAATCCCCTGTGTTGGAGGTGGTGCCTGGAGGGAGGTGATTGGATTATGGGGCTAGATTTCTCATGAATAGTTTACCATCATCCTCTTGGGGCTGTTCTTATGATACTGAGTGAGTTCTCTTGAGATCTGGTTGTTTAAAAGTGTATAGCCCCTCCCCGCTCTCTCTCTGTTGCTCCTGCTCCCAACATGTGAGATGCCTCGCTCCCTCTTTGATTTCTGCCCTGATTGGAAGCTTCCTGAGGCCTCCCCAGGAGCCTGGAAGATACCAGAATCACACTTCCTGCACAGCCCATAGAACCTTAGGACAATTAAACTTCTTTTCTTTATAAATTACACTGTCCAGGTATTTTTTATAGCAATGTAAGAATGGACTAATACAGGCTTCATTATGGAAGCGATCACCTCTTTATATAGTCATTGGACTGCTGTGATTAGAAAATTCACAGCAATGAGTTGGTCTCATTTTGTATATATTTTATTGAGTGTTTGCCATATTTAGGTTACCTCTGGGATGGGGTGCAATTCTCATACACAATATACAGACCGTTTACTTATTAGAAGGATGTCTGTGTTTGTATCAGGAGTGGGAGGACAGTGGTGAACTCATTAATGTGATTCAGTAGAACATCAAAATGAGATCTTCATTGTGGCTTTGGAATACATTTTTGACACTTTTAAAATTAAAATTATTTTAGTTCATATTATGAAATATATTGTACACAAAATCCATCTAATTAATATTTACAAATTTAAAATAAAATAACCTGTAATTACTACACATAGAAGAAATATATATCAACAATTTATTTGAGCTCCTGGTGTTCTCCTCCCATCTTCTCTGGAGAACCACAACATTCTTAATTTTGTTTTGTAAATCATTTATCTTTACACTTTTATCATAAATGCCCATATCTTCAAATATTTGTGTGCATGTCTCTTGAGAATCATATCAAAAGCATTTTGTTTGTTTGCACTTAACATTTTGCTTGGGAGATTCATTCATGCAAGTACTGATGGTTAAGACATTTTAAAAATATATAACTGTTACATAGCATTTCACTGTTTAAAAATAACTATTTGTATTTTCTGTCCTCCAGTTTTCTGCTATCTAGAAAAGGCTCTTTGTTAAGACTTTTATTCTAAGGCAGATGGGAAGTCAATATAGGGTCTTGTGCAGAGAAGAAGTACACATATTATTTTTGCTACTCTGTAGGGAGTAGGTTGCTGAGGGTCAGGGGTAGAAGCAGCAAGATTACATAAACATTTCATAAATACACGAAGAATAAGTGGCCCAAAGCAGGTAGGTAGCAGTGACTATGGTGAGAAGCGGCCGGATTCTGGATGTCTTTGGAGGTAGAGCCAACAGAAATATTGTAGACTGGCTGTAGCGTGTGTACAGAAGACAGCACTCATGGGTGACCCCAAGGCTTTGGGCCAGAGGTGTTAAGGGGTACCATTGTGATCAGAAGTGGGAGGCAAAGATGTGCCTGGAACAGATATGGGATAGGGAAATATCAGAATACTGTACATCTGAGATGTCTAAAAGCCATTCAAGTGGAAAGGTCATGTGGGTAATTGGATGTGGAACTGAATCAGTAAGTAAATATATACACAATCTTTAGGAATCATTAAGACAAAGGAAAATAACCCAACAGAAAAAAAATGTCTGCAAAAGGCCTGAACAGATAGTTAACAGAGTAGAAAGTATGGATGATCAATAAACATATCAAATAATACTGCATATGGATAATAATCATGGAAATTAAAATAAAACCATTAGGTTGTACTCCATACTTGCTATTTTTCAGCGAATATTTAAATGAGTGAACATACTATGTTTGAATGAGGATATGGAGTGAAACGAACTCTGATGCATTAGCAATGGAAATGTGAATTTGTGTATCTCTTTGAAAAACAACCCGCATTTACCTAGTAAATATTCTAAGATCCATTTTTTTCTGTCCTAGACAGAAAGTCAAGGGCCTCAAAAAGGCTGCTCCAGGACCCTTTGAAGTCTAGTTTCCAGTCATATTTTGCTGTTATCTCTCACTGATCTCATCTTCCCATTCTCCATTCCAACCACACAGGCATCTATGCTGTTCTAGAATATATACTCCACAGTTCTGCTTCAGAGTTGGCACGCTAGGAATTTTCTTTTATTAGACTCTCTTCTCCGAAATATCTATGAGACTCACTTTCTTATTGTTTTACCAATCTGTGCTCAAAAGTTACTTACTCAAGGCCCAGCCTGAGCTCTCTACTGTTACCCACCAGTATTATTGATCTGCCCGAGTTTGCTCTTTTTCCTCTTTACTATGATGCTGATGACCTTCCATCATGCTATGTAATTTACTTATTTATTATGATTATTTTCAGTATCTGCTCTCTCCCCACCCCTTCCCTGCACACATACACTCTTATCCTAAAGTATAATTTGCTCATAAGCAGAGATTTTTTTTATTATGATATTTTAAGTTCTAGGGTACATGTGCACAACGTGCAGGTTTGTTACATATGTATACATGTGCCATGTTGGTGTGCTGCACCCATTAATTTGTCATTTACATTAGGTATATCTTCTAATGCTATCCCTCCCCCCTCCCCCCACCCCACAACTGGCCCTGGTGTGTGATATTCCCCTTCCTGTGTCCAAGTGATCTCATTGTTCAATTCCCACCTATGAGTGAGAACATGTGGTGTATGGTTTTCTGTCCTTGCCATAGTTTTCTGAGAATGATGGTTTCCAGCTTCATCCATGTCCCTACAAAGGACATGAACTCATCCTTTTTTTATGGCTGCATAGTATTCCATGGTGTATATGTGCCACATTTTCTTAATCCAGTCTATCATTGATGGACATTTGGGTTGGTTCCAAGTCTTTGCTATTGTGAATAGTGCCACAATAAACATACGTGTGCATGTGTCTTTATAGCAGCATGATTTATAATCCTTTGGGTATATACCCAGTAATGCGATGGCTGGGTCAAATGGTATTTCTAGTTCTGGATCCCATAAGCAGGGATTTTTTTTTGTTGTTGTTATTTCCTGATGTATCTCAAGTGCCTAGAGCATTGTCTGGTACATGGCACATAAAGTTAGCTAGGTAGATGCTAGTTGAAGGATGAATGATAACCAGTTACATGCAGCAGCATGCACCCATGTGTGTGGTGATGAATATCAGAGCCTCTCAACATTTAATGACTCTCATTAATTTTTTTTGAGCAAATAATTTGAGCTTTCGGTTTCCTTACCTTAAAAAATGAAGATAAAATAAATCATACCAGTGTTGCCCTTTAGTAGATGAAAATATAATACTTTGGATTTTGTAAGAGACCTTTTTTATTATTTGGGGAAGGTTTTAGAATTTTCTCTTTGTCTTTGATATTAAACTTCACAAATATGTCTATGTTTAGATTTTTCCTAATATATCATGTTACATTTTTAAGGGGGGACTATAATCCTGCTTCACATAAGGAAAACACTTGTTTCTTCAAATATATACTCTTCATATGTATACTTATTTATTTCATTCTGGTGATGCTATTATGTTGAAGTCTTATCTGGATTTTCTCTGAGACAATTCTTCTACATTCATCAGAGTAATCAATAACTAGTTATGTCAGATCTGTTAATTAAAACATTTTTTAGTGTTTTTTCTAGATATTTATATTTGTACTTATTATTCCTACTTACTTCTCTTTATATTTTTCTCCTTTATGTTAACTATGAAGTCCTCATTTGGGGGTTATATATTTATTTTAAATTTTACTGTATGAGAAATTAATAATTTTTTTATCTGACAACATACTTTCATTTTGCTTGTTTCATTTTACTTTATTTAAGGAGTTTGTTTTTCTCAGACAGCTCATATTTCCCTAGACATATTATCTACCTTTTCTTTAAATGTATTTTTGTGACAAGTATTGAATCCAGGCCCCAATTTTTGCCCCTTCTATAAATATACTTGTGGCTATATCCTACAATTTTGAAAAGTAGTTTCCTCTTATTAAACAATTTTTATTTCCTGATCTCTCTATCTCTATTTCTTTCATCAATGGAGTGAGATCACAGTCTCTCTTTTATATTGTCCTAATACCATAGCAAATTAGAAAGCCATTTTACAGTTTCTAAATACATGATTCTTATTTAGGTTGTTTTTCTTTTGGTAAATAGTCTATTTAATTTATTTATGGTGCCCTAATGGAAAGTCACTTAATAAATTGTGCATTTGAAAAGAATATGAGTGCATGAATGTAGTTGAATGATTCAAATCTTTACATCTCTCATTTTGTTTACTTGATATGTTGAATTTCCCCTAACATTGTATTGTGAATGTTGTATTATAAAGAGAAAGTTGAGAGACTTCTTCATATACATGTTCAGTAAACACTCATATACCTATGAACATATACATGTTCAGTAAACACTCATATACCTATGGCCTCTGTATCATCCTTATAGCATATCTATCCTATTTGACTTTGATTTTTAAAGACTTTTAAAGACTTTTTAAAATTTTTAAGTTTCTTTTTAAGAGATGGAGTCTTGCTCTGTTGCCCAGGCCGAATTGCAGTGTTTATTCACAGGTACCATGATAGTGCACTATAGTCTCAAACTCCTGGCCTCAAGCAATCTTCCTGCCTCTGCCTCCTGCGTAGCTGTGACTACAGGCACATACCACCCCACCCAGAAGACACTTTATTTTTTCACATCAGTTTTAGGTTCACAGCAAAATAGGAGGTTAAGGAGCTTTCCCATGTGCCTCCTGCCTGCACACATACACAGCCTCCCCCTTATCAACATCCCACACCACAGTGGTACATTTTGTACAACTAATGAACCTACACTGATGCATAATCATCACCCAAAGTCCATAGTTTATCTCAGTGTTCACTCTTGGTGATGTACATTCTGTGAGTTTGGACAAATGTATAATAACTGTGTCCATCATTATAGCGTCTTACAGAGTATTTTCACTGCCCTAAAAATCCGTTATTGCTCTGCATCCTCTCCGGAAACTGGTGATGTCAGCGTTTCATATTTCAGTCATACAAGTAGGTGTGCAGGGGTAACTTATTATTTTAATTTATATTTCCCTAACAACATACGATATGGAGCATCTTCTCATATGCTTATTTGCCATCTATATTTCTTCCTTGGTGAGGTGTCACTTAAGGTACTTGGCCCATTTTTAATTATGTTGTTAGTTTTCTTATTGTTGAGTTTTAAGGGTTCTTTTTTTCTTTTCTTTCTTTCTTTCTTTTTTTTTTGAGATGAAGTTTTGCTTTTGATGCCCAGGCTGGAGTGCAATGGCATGATCTCGGCCCACGGCAACCTCCACCTCCCGGGTTTAAGTGATTCTCCTGCCTCAGCCTCCCAGGTAGCTGGGATTACAGGCATGCACCACCATGCCCAGCTAATTTTGTATTTTTAGTAGAGACAGGGTTTTTCCACGTTGGTCAGGCTGGTCTCAAACTCCCGACCTGAGGTGATCCGCCCACCTCAGCCTCCCAAAGTGCTGGGATTGCAGACATGAGCCACCATGCCCGGCCCTTAAGGGTTCTTTACATACTTTAAATAAGTTTTTTTTTTTCTTTTTAATTTAGTGATGGAATCTTGCTGTGTTGCCCAGGCTAGTCTTGAACTTCTGGCCTAAAACAATCCTGCCACCTCAGCCTCCCTAAGTGCTAGGATTATAGGTGGGAGTTACTGGACCTGGCAATGGATAAGTTCTTTATCAGATGTATTTTTGTCAAATATTTTCTTCCAGTGTGTGGTTTGTCTTCTCATCCTCTTGACATTGTGTTTCACAGAGCAGATTTCTTTAAGATAAAGTTTGAATTTTCAATGATTTATTTTATGAATTGTGGCTTTTGTGTTTTATCTAAAAAAGTTATCGCCATGCCCAACATCATCTAGGTTTTCCCCTATGTCATCTTAGGGTTTTATAGTTTTGCATTTTATATTTAAGTCTGTGATTCATTTTAAGTTACTTTTTGTGAAGGACTTAAGGTTTATGTCTATTTATTTTTTGCACGTGGATATGCAGTTGTTTGAGCACCATTTGTTGAAGACTATTATTGCTCTGTTTTACTGCCTTTGCTTCTTTGTCAAATATCTGTTGACTATATGTACGTGGGACTATTTCTGGGCTCTAGCCTCTCCTGTTAATCTGTTTGTCTATTAGCAATACCACACTGTCTTCATCACTGTAGTTTTATAATAAATGTCAAATTCAGGTAGTATAAGTCCTCCAACTTTGTTATTCTCTTTCACTGTTGCTCTAGCTGTTCTGGGTCTTTTGTTTCTTCCTTTAGCTATTAGGAAAAGTTTCTTAATAAATACAAAGTCACTTGCTGGGATTTTGAGTGGGATTACATTGAATCTATAGATCAAGTTGGAAGAACCAACATCTTGACAATATCAGGCCTTTTAATGCATGAATGTGGAATATGTCTCCACTTATTAATTTCTTCTTTGATTTTTTTATTAGAGTTTTATAGTTTTTCTCATATATGTCTTGTTCATATTTCGTTAGATCTATACCTAAGTATTTTAATTTTGGGTGCTAATGTAAATGGTGTTGTGTTTCAAATTTCTTCTTTTTATAATGTTTAGAAATTATTATTTTATTTTTAAAATTTTACAGATAGCATTGTATATTTTTATCATGTGCCCATAATATTTTGAAGTATATATACATTGTGGGATTATGATGTCTAGCTAATTAACAATTGCATTAGCTCACCTAGTTACCATTTTAGTAGGAAAAGCACTCAACATCTACTCTTTCTGCATTTTTTTAAGAATCCAATCATCATTAATTATAGTCACTTTACTGTACAATAGGTCTCTTGAATTTATTTCTCCTAACTGTAATTTAGTATCCTTTGACAAATCTTTTCCTATTCTCTCCTTTCCCCTACTCTCCTTTCCTTCTGGAAACCACTTTTCTACTCTCTACTTCTATGAGATCAATTTTTAGAAATTCCACATATTAATGAGATCATTCAGTATTTGTGTTTTGTGCCTGGCTTATTTCACTTAACATAATGTCTTCTGTAGCACATTCATGTAGTTCCTAATGAAATAATTTTATTCTTTTTATGGCTAAAGAGTATTCCATTGTGTATATATATCACATTTTCTTTATCAGTTCATCTGCTGGTGGACACTGAGGTTGATTCCATATCTTGACTATTGTGAATATGGTTCCCATAAACATGGGAGTGCAGATAGCTCTTCAACATACCAATTTCATTTTCTTTGAATATCTACCCAGTAGTGGAATTGGTGGATCATATGGGAGTTCTATTTTTAATTTTTTGAGAAACCTTCATACTGTTTTTTAAAGTGGCTGTACGAATTTACATTTCCACCAACAATGTGTGTGGGTTCACTTTTCTCCACATCCTCTCCAGCACTTGTTATTTTAAGTCTTTTTAATTATAGCCATACTAACTGCATTGAGGTGATATCTCATTGTGGTTTTGTTTTTCATTTCCCAGAACATTAGTACTGTTGATCTTTTTTTTGTATATACCTGTTAGACATTTATGTGCCTTCTTTTGAGAACTATTTATTTAGGTATTTTGCCCATTTTTAAATCAGGTTCTTGGTGTTTTTTTGTTACTGTTGAGTTGCTGGAGGACTTTTGGTTTTGGATATTAACATTTTATCAGTTAAATAATTTGTAAATGTTCTTCTATTCTGTAGATTGTCTCTTTGTGGATTGTTTTATTTGCTGTGTAGAAGCTTTTTAATCTGATGTAATCCTATATGTATATTTGTGCTTTTGGTGTCTATGTTTTTGAGGTCTTATCCAAATAATCCTCCCCAGACCAATGTTATAAAGCTTTCTCCTATTTTTTTCTAGTTGTTTTATAGTCTCAGATTTTACATTTAAGTCTGTAATCTATTTTAAGTTGCATTTTATATATGATGAGAGATAAGGGTCTAATTTTAGTCTTCTGAATGTGAATATCCAATTTTCCAACACCATTCATTGAAGAAGCTGTCCTTTCCCCATTGTGGGATCTTGGCACCTTTGTTGAAAATCACTTAACTGTACATTTATAGATTTAATTCTGGTATCTCTATTATGTTCCATTGGCCTCTATGTCTACTTCTATGCCAGTATCATGCTGTTTTGTTTACTGTAGTCTTGTAGTAGTGTATTATGAAGCCTGTGATATGATGTCTTCAGGTTTGTTCTTTTTACTCAAAATTGCTGTGGCTATTTGGTGTTTTTTTTTGTGGTGTCATAAGAATTATAGAATTTTTTTTCTGTTTATGCGAAGAATGTCGTTGGTATTTTGATAGGGATTGCATGAAATCTGTAGATTGCTTTGGGGAGTATAGAGATTTTTATTTATTCTTCCAAAATGAACTCAGGCTATCTTTCCATTTATTTGTGTTTTTCTTCAAGTTTTTATCAATGATTTATAGTTTTCAGTACAGAAATCATTAACCTCCTTAGTTAAGTTTATTCCTAAGTACTGTATTTTATTTTATATTTTTGCCTATTGAGAATGAAATTCTGTTCTTGACTTATTTTTATAGCTGAAAAATTAGTATACAGAAATGCTACTGATCTGTATGTTGATTTTATATCCTGCAACTTTTCTAACTTTGTTAATCAGTTCTAAAAGAAGTTTTCTGTGTATGATAACATGGCACCTTCAAGCAGGGACAGTTTAACTTCCCCCTTTCCAATTTGGATGCCTTTTATTCTTTCTCTTCCCCAATTCTTCTGGCTAAAACTTCCAGTACTATGTTGAATAGGAGTGCCAAAAGTGGACACTCTTTTCTTGTTCTATATTTTAGGGGAAAAGCTTTCAACTTGTCCTCATTCAGCAGAAAGTTAGCTGTGGGTTTTTCATATATGGCCTTTATCGTGTTGAGGTACATTTCTTTTGTACCTAATTTGTTGAGAGTTTTGATCATGTAGGATTTTTGAATTTTACCAAATGCTTTTCTGCATCTATAGAAATGATCATGAGTTTCTTGCCCTTGATTCTGCTGATATGATATATCACATGTATTGATTTGCATATGTTGAATTCTTGTATCCATGGGATTAATCCCAATTTGAGCATGATAAATTATCTTTTCATTGTGCTGAATTGGATTTGCCAGGTTTTTTTTTTATTATTATACTTTAAGTTCTGGGATACATGTGCAGAACGTGCAGGTTTGTTACATAGGTATACATGTGCCATGGTGGTTTGCTGCACCCATCAACCTGTCATTTACTTAGGTATTTCTCCTAATGCTATCACTCCCCTTGCCCCCCACCCCCTGACAAGCCCTGGTGTGTGATGTTCCCCTCCCTGTGCCCATATGTTCTTATTGTTCAGCTCCCACTTATAAGTGAGAACATGCAGTGTTTGGTTTTCTGTTCTGTGTTAGTTTGCTGAAAATGATTTCCAGCTTCATCCATATCCCTGCAAAGGACATGAACACATTCTTTTTTATGGCTGCATGGTATTCCATGGTATATATGTGCCACATTTTCTTTATCCAGTCTATCATTGATGAGCATTTGGGTTGGTTCCAAGTCTTTGCTGTTGTGAATAGTGCTGCAATAAACATACGTGTGCATGTGTCTTTATAGTAGAATGATTTATAGTCCTTTGGGTATAAACCCAGTAATGGGATTGCTGAGTCAAATGGTATTTCTAGTTCTATATCTCAGAGGAATCGCCACACTGTCTTACACAATGGTTGAACTAATTTTCACTCCCACAGTGTAAAAATGTTCCTATTTCTCCACATCCTCTCCAGCATCTGTTCTTTACTGACTTTTTAATGATCGCTATTCTAAACGGGTGTGAGATGGTATCTCATTGTGGTTTTGATTTGCATTTCTCTAATGACCAGTGATGACGAGCTTTCTTTCATGTTTGTTGGTCGCATAAATGTCTTCTTTTGAGAAGTATCTGTTCATATCCTTTGCCCACTTTTTTATGAGGTTGTTTGACTTTTTCTTGTAAATTTGTTTAAGTTCCTTGTAGATTGTGGAATTAGCCCTTTGTCAGATGGATAGATTGCAAAAATTTCCTCCCATTCTGTAGGTTGCCTGTTCACTCTGATGATAGTTTCTTTTGCTGTGCAGAAGCTCTTTAGTTTAATTAGATCCTATTTGTCAATTTTGGCTTTTGTTGCAATTGCTTTTGGTGGTTTAGTCATGAAGTCTTTGCCCATGCCTATGTCCTGAATGGTATTGGCTAGCTTTTCATCTAGGGTTTTTTATGGTTTTAGGTTTTACGTTTACGTCTTTAATCCATCTCGAGTTATTTTTTGTATAAGGTGTAAGGAAGGGGCCCAGTTTCAGTTTTCTGCATATGACTAGCCAGTTTTCCCAACACTATTAAATAGAGAATCCCTGTTGCTTGTTTTTGTCAGGTTTGTCAAAGATCAGATGGTTGTAGATGTGTAGTGTTATTTCTGAGGCCTCTGTTTATAGAATCCATTTGAAAGTGTTCTTTCTTCTTCAATATTTTGGAATCATTTAAGAAGAACTGGTGTAAGATCTTTTTTAACTTTTTTTATAATATGAAAAATTATAATATGAAAAAACTATAAATCGATCAGGTCCTGGGCTCTTTTTATTTTTTGATAGGGAACTTATTACTGATTCAATTTCTTCACTTATTGGTCTATTCAGATTTTCTATTTTTTAATAATGCAATTTTTGTAGGTTTTATGTGTCTAAGAATTTATCCATTTCTTCTAGGATATTCAGTTTGTTGTCATATAATTGCTTATAATAGTCTCTTATGATCCTTTGTGTTTCTGTGGTATCATTTGTAATGTCTCCTTTTTCATATTTTATCTATTTGAATATTGTCTCTTTTTTCTTAGTTTGTCTACCTAAAGATTTGTGTGTTTATCTTTAAAAAAAACCCAACTCTTTGTTTCATTGACCTTTTACATTATTTTTTTTCTCTATTACATTTACTTGTGTTTTTTTTTCTTATTACTTCCTTCCTTCTACGAATGTTTTTTTTCTGGTTCCTTGAGGTGTAGTGTTAGGCTGTTTATTTTAGCTCTTTCTCCTTTTCTGATGGAGGCATTTATTGCTGTAAACTTCTCTCCTAGAACTGTTTTTGATGTGTCCCATAGGTTTTGGTATAATGTGTTTCCATTTTTGTTTGTTTCAAAAATTTTTAAACTTTTAGTTAATTTCTTCACTGGCCCTTTGTCTATTCAAGAGCATGTTGTTTGTTTAATTCTCATGTCTCTGTAAATTCTGCAAATTTTCTTCTGGAATTGACTATCTAGTTTTATAACATTGTGGTCCCAAAAGATATTCGATAGAATTTCAGTCTTCTTAAATTTGCCTAGATTATTTCTGGGGCCTAATGTATAGTCTGTCCTGAAATATGTTTCATTTGCTGTTGAGAAGAAAGTATATTTTGCAGCTTTTGGATGAAATGTTATTTTAATGTCTGTTAAGTCATTTGGTCTAGAATGGACTTTAGATCCTTTGTTGCTTTTTTATCCAGATGATCTATTAATTGATGAAAGTGGGGTATTCAAACTCCTTACTATTATTGTTTTGCAATCATTTCTCCCCTTAGATTTATTAATATTTGCTTTATATATTTAGATGCTCCAATGTTGAGTGCATATATTTTTATAATTATTATAACCTCTTGGTGAATTCACCCCTTAATCATTATATAAAGATCTTCTTTGTCTCTTTCTATAGTTTTTGACATCAAGCCTGTGTTTTTCTCATATAAGTATAGCTACTCCTACTGTCTTTTGAGTTCCATTTTCACAAAATATTTTGTTTTTTTTCCTTTAATTTTATCCCTTTCCTTATAGGTGAAGTGAGTAACCTATGGTCAGCATTTTGTTGGGTCTTGTTTTAAAAACTCACTCAGTCCCGGCGCGGTGGCTCACGCTTCTAATCCCAGCACTTTGAGAGGCTGAGGCGGGCGGACCACGAGGTCAGGAGATCGAGACCATCCTGCTTAACACGGTGAAACCCCATCTCTACTAAGAAAAACACAAAAAAATTAGCCGGGCGTGGTGGCGGGTGCCTGTAGTCCCAGCTACTGGAGAGGCTGAGGCAGGAGAATGGCGTGAACCTGGGAGGTGGAGCTTGCAGTGAGCTGAGATGGCGCCACTGCACTCCAGCCTGGGCAACAGAGCGAGACTCTGTCTCAAAAAAAAAAAAAAAAAAAAAAAAGATTATTCCTAATAGATACGGTCTTACTTTTTGTTTTCCTTTGTGTTTGTGCGTTTTCTCTAGTAGCATATTTTTATTCCTTGCTTTTTATTTTAGTGTGTCTATTTTAAGATTTTGCCTTGTGGTCACCATGAAGCTTACAGAAAATATCTTGTAGCTAGATTATTTATCCTAGTAACAACTTAACTTTGATCACTAAAAAAACCTTCTAAACTTTAACTCCTTTCTTACTTTCCACATTTTGAATTGTTGACCTCATTTATGTTTATCATATTACATACCTTTCAACAAATTATTTTAGTTGTTATTTTTAATAGCTTTTTATTTAACCTTCATAGTAAAGATATAAGTAATTTTCACACTGCCATTTCTTTTTTAGAGTATTCTGAATTCGACTGTTTTCAAATGTTTTTTTATTACTCAGTGATTTTTTTCTTTCAGCTCGAAGAACTCCCTTTAGCATATCTTATAAGCCAGGTCTGGTGGTGATAAACTTGTTCAGCCTTTTTAACATTTTTTATTTTTTGCTTTGGAAAGTCTTTCTCCCTTATTTCTGAAGGATAGATTTGCTGGATACATTATTCTTGGTTGGCAGATTTTTTTCTTTCTCTAGCACTTTGAATGTATCATCCCACTATCTCCTGCCCTGAATAATTTCTGCTGAGAAATTTTCTGCATGCTGTATTGGAGCTCCCTTGAATGTGATATGTTTTTTATCTCTTATTTCTTTGAGTATTTTTCTTTGTTTTTCATTTTTGATAATCTGATTATGATGTGCTTTATAAACTCCTCTTTTGTTGTTCCATTGGCAGCCTCTGAGCTTCCAGTACCTATTTGTTGTCTTTCCCCAGATGAAAAAATTTCCAGCCATTATTTCCTAAATATGTTTTTTAGACATTTTCCTCTCTCTTTTCCTTCAGAAACTTCTATTAGGCAAGTGTTAGTTTGCTTGATGGTATCCTATAATTCCCATAGGCCTTTTCCATTTTTGTTTATTCTTTTCTTTTTACTTCTCTGAATTGATAATTTCGTATGTCATATTTTCCAGCTAACTGGTTTTTCTGCTTGATCAAATTAGTTGTTGAAGCATTGTATTTAATTGTTCAATTAAATTATTTTATTCTTTATTTTGAGGATTTCTATTTGGTTCTTATTTATGGTTTCCACTGCTTTGTCAAACTTTTAATTTGTTCATGAATTGTTTTCCATATTTCATTTAACTTTTTATATGCATTTGCTTGTAATTTCTTGAACTTAAGAGGATACTTCTGAGGTCTTTTTTGGTCATTTCATAGATCTCCTAGTTTGTACTTGTAAGCATAAAGGAAAATGAGTATTTAATATAGAACATGTAGAATTAAGTATTTATCATCTTGAGAAAAATATTCTATTATTATTTGTAATTGTAATTGGCATAATAAATATAATAAAAAGTACCTTATTTAATTTCCCAAATATCTTATTATATTTTTAAGATATTACCTTATAAATATGTAGACAGACTAAAATTGAATAGCAGTGTAGAATCTTGAACATTTGAGAACTTGAAAAATGACATGGTTGTTTTTGGATTAACCTTTTTCATTCACTCATTAATCTTTTGTTGACTGAATAAAGATATCCAAGTGTCGTTATTATAGTAATTTTCTTTCCTAAATTTCATGATTTGGAGAGCTTGGTGGTAAGATTTTTTGCTCATTACAAGTATTGATCTGGGACAGATCTGGTGCTGCTTAAGGAAAGACTAATAACATGTCCCAAGTTCTCCTGGTTATTTTTATTTAAATACTGCTGGGGAAAAGGTGGTGGAAAATTATTTTATTCCATTTGTGTATATAAATCACTATGCATTTTTTTACTTTTTATATTTTACATGTTATCTTAGCAAAAAGAATATTAATAGTTTCAACCAAGCAAAATAAATATGAAGGCTGGATTATTAAAAGTGACTTTTGCATTTTTAACCACATTTTATCTTTGAATTTAGTATCATATACAGGAGATATGAAAATAAAAGACATTTATTTTTATAACAGTATTAAAAATCTATTGAAGTATTGATTGAAGAAATTCAGTTGAAGTATTTTTGTAAACATTGTGATTATGTGGGTTATTAAGATACATACAAATGTGGTTTTAAAATTCAACAAGAGTAAGGCCAATATATTTTAGCATGTGTAATTTGTAAAAATACATGTTTGTATTTGTAGTAAAACTTATACACAAGATCAAATATGTAAATATTAAAGGAGAAGGAGTTGTATATGTATGTAAATTGTTTCTTATTTGAATGACATTTAGATACTGTCATCTAGGTTTAGCTATATTTTACAGTACAAATTTAATTAAAATATATGCTATGGAAGTATTTTAATGATTTTAGGTTGAAGTTATAAAAACATTCCCATATTTATTTCTTTCCAATAAGGAAAATTTGTCAGAGCATATAACACACCATTTATTCTTCACTTCATTATTTTATCTACCTTTTCCTATGTGTCTTTTAATTCTTAATATTTACTAAAATTTCTATATCAAGGAATAATACACAGAGCTTTTACCTTCAAGTTATTTAGTATTGGAATAGTGCACAAAATTATAAACATTGAGATAATGCAGGCAGAATAAAGTACCCAAGTAGGTTTGAGAAATGCACCATCAGCTTTCACTGAATTATGAAATCCCAAATACTGCTGAAGGGTCAACAATGAAAGACAGTTGTACTGAGAAGGTAAAGTTTTGAACGTCTCTTCATTTATATAGAGGGTTTCCCCTTGATAGGGAACTGAGGATAAATATTTGAAGAAATATGATGGAGGTTTCCAGCAATACTCATAATAATTGAAACATCTAATTAAAATAGGGCTAACATCATTCATCAGCCTCACAATATCAGCTGTTTTCCAAGAACTTCTTATCACTGGGCCTCTTGTTTTTTTATACTAATGTATGTTTGTTTGTTTCATTCCCCTCCCCCAACCTCCACAGAAAAACCCTTGTGAAGAGAGAGGATGGGTGTTCACAATTTGTTCACGGTGACTCAGTTTATCCTTATAGGGCTCTCTTACTTCTCCAATGAGCACTACCTTCTTTTTGTGGCCCTTGCCATTATCTGTCAGGTGTTCTTGGTGCGAAGTGGAGACATTCTCTTGGCCATTGGGACTGTGATTAAGTTGCACACTACTCATGTATTATTTTTTGGCAAATGTGTCCATCTTAGACATATTGTGTTCATCAGCTACTATACCTAAGATGCCTAAGATTCTCTAGACTGAGGATCACAGCATTTCTTTTGTTAGGTGAGCTTTGCAGCCCTATTTCCTAGTGGCCTGGGCTGGGAAGAAAGCTTTCTCACTGTTACGGCTTATGACTGGTGTGTGGTCACATGTTTCTCCCTTTGTTACATCCTGATCATGAACAAATTGGCTCTGTCCAGCTGGTTTATGGGACCTGAGCAGCTGGGTTTCTAAATTTCCTCCTCCTCCACGTAGTGTCTACCCTCTGCCTGTCTTTCTGCAAGCCTGATCGAGTTAACCAGTATTACTGTGATATCTCACCGATGGGGGCCCTGTTGTGCCAGTCCATGCACCTGGCAAACATGCTTGTTTTAGTGGAATCAGTTATCTTGGGGATCAGTGCTTTTCTGGCTGCCTTTAACTTTTACATATACATCATCTCCACTATCCTAAAGATCCAGTGTGTAGAGTGGAGTGCAAAGTGCTTCTCTACATGCACTTCCCACCTCCTTACGGTCTGTTTGTTCTATGGCATATTGACATTTACCTACATTTACTCCTTCTCCAGTCAACACTCACATGTCTAAGGCAAGCCCAGATCTAGCCACAGACAGGCTCATCTCTATGCTATACAGAGTTATTACCCTGATGTTTAACTTCATCACTGACAACCTGAGAAACACAGAGGTAAAAGGAGCCTCAGAAAGGTTTTATGTCATTGAACATGTTTATAGAAACCATAATTTAAAATATAATAGAATGACTCAATGTTCCACTTTTAATTCATAGAAAAAGTAATTTTCTATTGATATATAGAATGTATACCTACATAGGCGTATAAATTTATAGAAAATACATATACATATAACTTCAGTTATATCTATTTATATGTATATGTATATTTCTATTTGTGTACATTGGGAACTTAACATTTATCAGCCAAAGTAGACTTTTTTTTTTTTTTTAAGTTCTGGGGTACATGTACAGGATGTGCAGGTTTGTTATGTAGGTAAACATGTGCCATGGTGGTTTGCTGCACCTATCAACCCATCACCTAGGTATTAAGACCAGCATGCCTTAGCTTTTTTTCCTGATACTCTCCCTCTCTACGCCACCCTCCACCCAACAGGTCCTAGTGTGTGTTATTCCCTGTAGACTTTTTCAGAATAAATCAGGAACTGTTAGTAGTAATTACACTGGTATAAGATGTTTAAAATAGGCCTGTCTTAGGCTGGGCGCGGTGCCTCACACCTGTAATCTCAGCACTTTGGGAGGCAGAGGCAGGTGGATTACCTGAGGACAGGAGTTTGAGACCAGCCTGGCTAACATAGCGAAACCCTGCCTCTACTAAAAATACAAGAAATTAGCCAGATGTGGTGGTTGGTGCATGTAGTCCCAGCTACTTGGGAGGCTGAGGCAGGAGAATCACTTGAACCCCAGAGGCTGGGTTGCAGTGAGCTGAGATCGTGCCACTGCACTCAAGCCTGGGTGACAGAGTGAGACTCTGTCTCAATAAATAAATAAAATGGTCCTATCTTAAGTAAACTTGGATCTATAACACTTAACTATATTCATACTCATGCTTGTACCCATAGCCATATTTATGTCTACCAATATCTATATTGTGTGTGTCTATATGGTTTATATCTGGCTTTCAACCTGTATTTAATCTAGCTGTAGGTGTTTTCTTTAATTTTTTTCTTTTAATTGTTCATTTACACTTGGAAATTGCTAAGAGAGTGAATCTTAAATGTAATCACAATAAAAGATAATTATGTGAGGTGATGGATATGTAAATTCATTTTGTTTGATAACTTCACAGTTTATACCTATATAAAAGCATCACATTGCATACTATAAATATATGTATATGTGTGTGTGTGTGTGTGTGTGTGGGTGTAAACTATACCTTAAGGCTGGGGGAATAAGCTAAAGTGGTCAACATAACCTATTATATGATAAAGATATATCTATGTTGGAAATTTTTCTGATATTGTTATCAAATATGTAAGATTTAAATGACAGTATTTTCATTATATTATTTGTAACCTGTGTAAATGGAATAAAATACCCATTTATGGCTATCTGGTGAAACTGTTGAGAAGTAAAGCCTGTGCATTGATCACCCTTCTATGTTTGTTGTTATTGATACTTCTCCTTTTTGTTGACATAACATGCTATGACTTCTTCTGTAGTTTTACTTTCAACCTACTTGTTTTGTTACTTTATGTGAGTTTCTCATAGACAGTTTATAGTTCAATTATGTATTTTTATCCAGTGTCCAATCTCTGTCTTTCAATTTGCATATATTATTGCATCATTTACTTTTAAGGTAATCATTAATATGCTACAATTTGTCGACTTTTTAATTTGTTTTGTGTTTGTTTCTTCTGTCTTTTATTTCTCTGCTTTTCATTTATTGATTTTCTGATGTTTTCTTTAAGATTTTTAAGGATTCTAACTTATGTATAGCATTTTTATTACATCACAATGTATAGTTTTTTTATACCAACTAATGTTGTTATAATTTTTCTTTCAACCATAAAATATAATTTAAGGAACTCATGAGAGAAATATAGTATATTGTAATTATTTCTCTTTGTACAAAATTTGTTTTTTCCTGTATGACATTGTGGCTTTCCTATCTCTGTAGAAAACCATATATACTGTACTCTTAAAAATACTAAGAGAGTGGGTATACAGTGTTTCCACCATGAAAATGATAATTATGTGAGGTAATGCATATCATATGTTAATTAACTAAATGTAGTCACTCCACAATGCATCTATACTTCAAAATGTTAGGCTGTAAACAATAATACATAAATTTTATGTCAATTATTTTTGAATTACAAAAAAATGAATGCAAGTTGATCTCAAAAAGATGTCATAAAGAATAAATAAAATGAGAACACAATATCAACAAATTATATGAACCTAACAAAATAGTCTAAAAAATAAACCAATAGTATTCTATTTTCAGAAATATCAAATATGTAAATACCTTAATAAACTTGAAAATGCATGCATTAAACTAATACTGTATACTATACTCTCCCAAAAAAAGAGTGGAGATTATTTACCAGCACATATAAAACAACTTAAAAATGGATAATTTATTTCACCCTAAAAATGAGTCTCAATAAATTCCAAAGGTTCAAAGAATTACAAATATTGTGGAATGTGTAATACATGTATGCACATGTGGATATATGTATATCTGTACATATAGGTATATATATGTGTGAGTGCACATTTGTATGTAAGACCATTATGAAGCTATCTCTAGATTATATTGTTAAGTAAAAAAAAAGTATAATGCAGAAAGGGATTTTTAATATTTGCTTATATTACAGTTATGTTACATATAACATATAATGAAACATTGCATATATACATATATATAACAGTTTATGATATATATAACATATATGTATAACAGTTTATATCCAAGGTTATATAACATATATCTAAGGTTATATATATAACAGTTTATGATATATATAACAACATGACATTACATATACATATACAGTAAAGTTATATATAATATGTTATATATAACATAAGTGTTATATATGTTATATAACATGTTACTAATATATGTCACATATATAAAACAAAATGTTATAATTATAAAACAAAATGTTATACGTGTAAAACATGAAATGTTTTATCATTTTCTTTATCAATTTATCTGATGATGGACACAACTGCTCCAGATGTATTTGTAAGACAAAATTCCAACATGTTTTCATAATTGTGGAAATATATTGTAAAAATATGCTTTACTAATCACAGCAAATGATATATTTCTTCCAACTTGTTATAAGATGTGTTGTATATTGTATATTTTTATTATGTAGCCTCAGTTTTGGCATTCTCACTCTCTCAACCTAACTTTATTTCATGATTTAGTTTGTGACTTCAAATCTGCATTTATGATACATTTGCTAGTAGATACTCATAGCAACTGCCATAGTATAGACACCCATTTCTCATCCCATCTATGTTACATCCAAATTTTTTCAGGGGTGCCAAGTGCCTAATTTTAGAATATACTCTTCCAATTGGTACTTACAACTTGAAATGGTGTAATAATATAGCTATAGCCAATGAGATGTAGCTTATACTTACTGGGTTATCCTTATAAAAATAATAGGCAGTGCTTCATTTGCCTCATGAAATCTCTGTCCTTAGCCTTCATTCTACTTGGGTTATGGATGAGACGCCTAGTAATACAAAAGCCATTCATGATCCTAGGGAAAACAATATTGAAGGGCAGAACAAGATGACTGAAGGTGCCTGTTTCATTGATGGACCCATTGAACCGCCATACACACTATTGACTGCCTGCCTAATGTCAGACTAATGTTGCATGAGGCATAAGTGTACTCACTGGTTTAAAAGGACTGGAGTAATATTCTGTCACTTTTTCCTGAACACATGGAGACTTTAGAGTTTGCCCAATAATTTTATTCAGTAGAGCACGATTTTTCTCCAATGAAATCTAAATAACGTAATGAGGTTCAACCCCAGAGTAGATACCTCATTATCACAATGCTGTAAGTGAATGAACCCAGCCTATTAAGCAAGGGAAAATTTATCACACACACTACTTCTCTCCAGCTCACATTCACATACCAACAAATAAATGGCACAAAATACACAAAATGTTTTGTGATATTTGCATGTATGATGTGCACATGCACATATAGGTAAATATTTGTGTATATGCATATATAAGTATTCGAAGTTATGTACATATTTTTGGAAAATGTTGGAATATATATTATGACATATATTTATGTGAGGGTATTGTGCATATTGCTTTATGAATATTCTTCACATAAAGAGTACAGAATTTTGGAGACAATGAGACTGCTAGGAAGAAGGCAGGAATAAGAGGGAAGGGAAAATTGGAGTGGAGGTAAGTATGAAAAACCAGTAAAATCTGAGATGCTCTAGAAGATGGTTCTGGAGTACAGAAGTGATGTTGCATGTTGAAACTACTAGTGTTTCAGAAATGCAAACACCTTCCTAATTCCTGCCTGCATCTCCCTATTCTGGAAGCTGTACACCATCGGGTTTAATGTGGGAGTCACAAGAGTATAGAGTGCAGCTACCACCTTGTCTCTTTCAAATGTATAGCTGGAAGCAGGGCGGATATAGGTGTAGATTACAGGAGAATAGTAAAGGGTCACCACTGTGAGATGAGATGAGCATGTTGAGAAGGCCTTCCTCTTGCCTTCTACTGTGCGGATACGGAGAATAGCAACAATGATAAAACCATAGGAGATGCAGGTAAGAATAAAGTCCCCTATGGCCAGGGTAATATCAGCAACATACACCATCACCTCATTGATTCTTACAGGGCTACAGGACAAAGCCAGCAATGGGGGTATCTCACAGAAGAAGTGGTCAATGGTGTTTGGCCCACAGAAAGTCAACCTCATGATAAGAGCTGTGTGCACCCAGGAATTGGTGACTGCAATAGCCATGACCATGCTGAGCAAGGCTACACACATATGGTGGTTCATAATAGTACTGTAATGAAGAGGGAAACAAATGGCCACATAGCGGTCATAGGCCATGGTGGTGAAGAGAACCATCTCAGCTCCCAGAGACCATGTGAACAAGAAGAGCTGGGACATGCAGCCTGCATATGAAATGGTATTTTCTGATGTTAGCATGGTCCCCAGCATCTTCGGTATGATGCTTGTTGTGCAGATGATGTCCACAACAGCCAGTGTCAGAAGGAAAACATACATGGGCGTATGCAAGGTGTTGTTATAGATTTTGGCAATGATGATGAGCATGTTGCCGAGAAAAGCCACAAGATAGACAATGAGAAAAAAGAGGAAGATAATTCCCTGGAGTTCAGGCTTTTTGGTGAGGCCCAGAATAATGAACTCAGTTACAACGCTGTGATTCATCCTGCTTGGGTGATTGAATGGCAGTAATTGCACAGAATAAACAACTGAAAATGGAAAGAATCCCTGTGTTGTTAGGAGATAACATGAGGAGTGTGTGTACTTAGGGACTTAATTCTTGATTGGACACAACTTTGCAGCAGGAATTCCCATTTGATGGAGTTCTGTATTCCAGGCAATATACTCTGTTTTCCAGACTAATCCCATTCTCTGATGTATGTTCCTCCATTGATGACTCAAACTGAAGCCAGTGGTTGAGAAGAAAAATATTTTCAAAATGCCTTCAAATATTTTGATATCATTTTCACTTAAAACTTGTCTAAATACACACACACATATATATATATATACACACACATATGTATATATTCTGGATATGCATATATATCCAATGGAGCTGTAATACAAATTATTACATACCTCAATAATTTAGTTAATTGCATGGTACATTTAGGTGTCCTTGAGATATACACGAGCAAAGATACTTGAAATAATACAAGCTGACAGGGCTAATTATAGTGAGGATATTTCAGATGAAAAATGCCCAACCTAGTATTTTGAGGCTGTATATTCATGGGAACATTGACTAATGTATCACAGTCCAAATACTAAACAATTTAATCAAATGTCTGTATTAGTAGTTTTTCATCGGTTTGAGAAGCACATTGCCAAAATTCACTGGACCAGCTATTTGTTTTGCTGTTATATAATGGCAAGATAATTGGATTTAAAAATATAAAATGTAGGGTTGTGTCTTCATTTCATCATAGCTATAGACTGGCCATTTAAGCTCTGTAAGATTTGGATTTATTATTTCTAAACATTGAATAAATTGAAATAAATATCAGATGTTAGAGAGACAGAGCCATGATTTCTAAAGGATACCCAAGCATAAATGGCAACTGGAGTTTTCTGGAAAATAATTTCTAGGACACAAGAAAAATCTGTGTCCTATGTTATTTTCCCCCAAAACTTCCATAGCATTCTGTTTTCTGTTTTCTTTTACTTTCTTTTCTAAAAAAGATGGGGGTCTCATTCTTACCCAGGCTGGTCTCAAACTCCTGACCTCAAGAGATCCTCCTGCCTTGACCTCCCAAACTGCAGGGATTACAGGCATGAGCCACTGCACTTGGTTGCTGTCCGTTTTCTTTTATGCTTATTTATTTTGGTACATTTGTATGCACAGACAGTTACACGAATTCATGGCTTTTGGAACTATTATGATTAGATGAATCTAGTGAAAGTATTCAAAATAGTTGTGAATTTAGTCATAAATTTATGTTTATCAATGTTCTTTAAGTTTTCAGAGATCATATTGTACCTCTGGTATCTAAACAGAGACATAAATAAAAAGTGTTTTTGAGTGTGCGTCCACAAATCTAGTCTGTTTTGCTCTCTCATGCCTTGTAGCCTCAATAATTTGTTAACCAAATTTTAGCTACTGATAAATTCATCTTTAACTCTTTAAACTGGAAGAAAAAAATAGAGCTTTTGTCTAATCCATAATCCATTTCAGAATCTCTAGCTTTAGTATTAATTTACTCATACTGAAGGAATGTTACAGCCACCATTATTTGGGTCTTTGACATGTGACAGGCTCTATGTTAGGTCCTCTGCAGAGATGATACAATTTTGTCCTCACAAGCACATTGAGTCTTTAATATTTTTATCTTTATGTAGTTGATAAGCAAACAATGCATGGGAGTAAAAATAATAGTAGGTAGATTGTGTGTCTCATAAGTGCCAGGATTAACACCTAGATCATCTGACTCCAAAAAATTTGCTATTCACCTTTCTACTATATACTTTCAAGCAAAACACAAAATAATATGGCAAGTGTACACAAAAACTAAGAAATATAAGACAGATCTGAAAGAATATGGATTTTTATTTTGAATACGAGATGATTTGGAAGAGGAAAATATAGACAAGATAGTTGATTCTTAAAATTTAATTCAAATATTAGAATCTTTGAAAGATCTGAACTGAAGTGATATTAACTAATTTAAAAAATACTATGTGTTGAATATGTTTTCAAATAGTAAGCGGTTCTGGTCTGGTCATTTCATCTTAATCATAAATCTGACGTCAAAGCTTCTTGAGATAAATTTATAAGATAACAGACCCCTTTCAGCTTTTTGGTGATCTTAATCACCAAAAACAGGCACTCAAATATAAACTGAGCTTTCATTGTTGAAGAAAAAAGCTTTGTTTTTTTTTTTCTTGGAGAACTGTCACTTATTAATGTAAGTACTGTTATTTATCAATGTTATTTATCCACGTAACTGTTACTGATCAATTTTCCTAAAGCAGGGTATGAAGAAGGAGATCCCAGTCCCAAGTACACAAGGGCAAGTTTCAAAAAATTCTTAAAGTTCACAGGAGATGGAAAAGTGCACCCCTGTTCCACCATCTCTAAGTTAAGAGCAAAGGCAAGGGAACCTGAGGATTCTGTTTCTCTTTTCTTCTTGTAATGTCCTCACCCCCTTCTCTGGAGTTATGACATTGGTTTGCTTGACTTTGTTCTCACTGCGGGTTCCTTGGTTTGGGTGGTTATTGTGTGTGAAGGAGGCTGAACCTGGAATGACACTGTGACACAGTTCACTGTGAGGAGAGGGTATCTACTGACTATGAAAACCTTGTTCAGGATGTCCATCATTGGCTTAAGGTGGAGATATGTACTATTTTCTATCCATAGGTGTCCAAACAGTGGTCAGTAGTTTCTCTTGAAATTCTGCAATTGATGTTAGTCTGACTTGCATGCTACTGTAGGCTCCAAAAAAGCCACAGTATCCAGAAGAAGAGGGCCTGCCTGCATCAGCAGGAAAGTGTCTTTCTCCAGAAATAGAAAGTCTATTTCTATTTGCTGCAAATCAAAAGCCATTTACTCCTGGCCGTGTCCATCCCTGGTCATCTCCTCTGAAATTATCAATTCAGCTCTAGTAATTATGTTTAATCTAGCTTAGATTTTCTATTGATCAAAATCTGGAGGCAAGAAAAATCAGTGAAATTTAGTTTGAATCATTATAATACATATGGCCTAATCTTGACCCTGTCTGTGACCTTCCATTTTTAAGACATTCTTCAAGCCTCAGTCCATCCCCATTGGTTAAATGGAGATAACAGTAGTAAACTCACCGAGATTCTTTGAGGATTAAATAATGAATATGAATCTTTAGCCCTATTCTGGGGACTTATTGAGCTACCAATCAAAGGTAAAAATAATTATTATTTAGAGTTCCAAATATATAATTTTGAAAAATCATGTTTTAGTATGTGAGTATTCAGTCGTTAATAATGAGGGAGTTTTTTACTATTTAATGGAAGAAATTTCCAGAAATGTATTTGAAAAGATTGAATAAATATTATAATAATTTAAGAATAACCAGATTGGGTTAGGGCAATAAAAGATAATTCAATTAATTCTATAATAATTATAATAAAGGTGACTTTATTCATTAAATATTTAAAGGCCACAGTTTATGCTAATCATTATGCTATTAGATTATGACGATGTAGAAAATGTAATATACATTCTCAGTTATTTCAGCATCAGTGATAAAACAATGAACAATAAACTAATATTCTTTGGGACCATGAGAAAATCATTGGAGTTATAAAACAATTTTATATAGTAACATAGCACACTTAATTTGGTCTTGGATAAAATAATGAAAATACTAACCAAAAACATGAGTGTGATATCTGAAACCCTAGCACCCGTGATTTTTATTGCTTAGTCAATATTCCTTTATATTTACCATTTATACTGTTCTTCTTTCTCCTGCATATCTTCCCTTATATGGGACAATTTTTATTCTCATGAATAACTCTGCTTTTAGTCCACAGGAATGTGGTATTGTCTCCAAAAGTAAGCAGGTTTTGAGGAGTGCGATTGGAAAGGGAAGAGGAAAGAGAAGATAAATTCCAATAAAACTGGCCTGGTGTGTGGTTCACACCTGTAGTCCCAGCACTTTGGCAGGCTGGGGTGGGCAGATGGCTTGAGCCCAGGAGTTTGAAACCAGCCTTGGTAACATAGTGAGACCTCGTTTCTACAAAAAATACAAAAATTAGCCGGCCTGTAATCCCAGCTACTTGGGACGCTGAGGCAGGAGAATCGCTGGAGCCTGGGAGGCGGAGGTTGCAGTGAGCCGAGATTGTGCCACTGCACTGCAGCCTGGGTGACAGAGCCAGACCCTGTCATAATGAAATAAAAATAAAAATAAGAAAAGATAGGACTACTTGAGATTATTATATTCTAAGGTAAGGAATTATTTTGTTGTTAAGTAGTCGATAAGGGAGAAATTTTAGATTTCTGAGAGAGGAAGTAGTATGTGACATACCCCAGTTTTAGAAAGCCAGCCCTGAAGGCATCATAGAGGATGAATTCAGAGGGAGACAGTATTTGTCCATCTTAAATGGAGACTGTGTTTACAGGCACCACCTGGTTTGTAGAACATTATCAATTTAAGTTTAACAATAGGATTTATTTATAATAATGAATTGCCAGAATAAAATGAAAGTGATATAGAATTGCCAGAATAAAATGAAAGTGATATAAAACTACATACAGAAAAAACTTAGACCATTTTGTCTGGCAGGATGCAGTGCACTGCCAAATAAACACTGGCAACCTTTTCCTGGAAGGAGTGAATTGAGGTCACATTCTGTTTACTTACTTTAGAACACCAAACATTTACTAATAATACACAATGATGCTTGATTTATGTGCCATTCACCATGCTATTTTGCTGAATCATGAGGATAAGTTTAAGAATTAATAGGGCCGGGTGCGGTGGCTCACGCCTGTAATCCCAGCACTTTGGGAGGCCAAGACGGGCGCATCACCTGAGGTTGGGAGTTTGAGACCAGCCTGACTAACATGGAGAAACCCCATCTCTAATAAAAATACAAAATTAGCTGGGCATGGTGGCACATGCCTGTAATCCAGCTACTCAAGAGGCTGAGGCAGGAGAATTGCTTGAACCTGGGAGGCGGAGGTTTCAGTGAGCCGAGATCGCGCCATTGCACTCCGACCTGGGCAACAAGAGCGAAACTCTGTCTCAAAAAAAATTAATAATATTTATGTCACTATTTTACATATGAAGTAGTTGGTGAAATTTGGTAGTTATCAAATGTGCTTATTGTCACACAGTCAGACACTGGCGACATGGAAATCTGAATCCAGGGAGTCTAATGACAAAATTCACTCATGTTGCATTTTATAAGCCAATGTTATACCTATGTCAACTCCAACAGCACAGTTTATTCTTATGTATCCATTACATCATTATCATCATCTCCGTCTTCAAGTATTTTCATCTTCATTGTCATAATAAACAATATCGGCACACGTTTAAAGGGCCTATGTTGTCTAAGGCAAGGTACTAAGAACTCCCCACAGCAGCCACTGTGTTTTATGGGGACAGAGTGATACAAATTTCCTCGTACTCTCATATTCCTGAATGACTTCTGTCAGACAGTTTCATTCTAGGCCACTTTCTATTAGGTAGGGCTACGTCAGAGGTGATTCTAGTTCAAGCATCGTTTAAGGAGAATGTTACATTCTCTTCAGCTTAGCTTCACTGTTGAAGTACTAGAAAAGAAGTGAAAGTAGCTACTTCTTAATTTTCTAGGTTTCGAAGTGATCAGAGAGGTAGGAAAGGAAGATCAGTGTGAAGGCAGTATAATAAATTGTAAAAAGAGAAAAGGTGGCGGAGATTAAGGAGAGTCAATACCTGCATACAAATCATGGCCCTACCCTACAAAGGATAATCAACCACTTGGTTAGCCAGGGATTGTCCAAGTTTTGCCACTGAAAGACCCACATCCTAGGAGACCTGTCAGTCTCAGGCAACCTGGGAAAGTTGGTCACCCTAGGACATCTGAAGCCAATGCAATTCCTGTCTGAAAGCATTTTATTCTCTATGTTTGGGAAGACATTATTTTTCACATTTACATTGTTTTCTAAGTTTTGGAAGAAATCTTTTTTTTTTTAAATTCAACTCTGAACATGCCACTCACCATTTTATAGAGTCTGTCACAGATTCTTATATATGTAGGTAGAATATGAACACTAAATGAGTAAATGAAACCCTTGTAAGGTTCTATTTTTGAGAGGCGTTTTAAGCAGCTTGGAGCATCCTGATACAATGAGAAGTTTTGCAAGCTAATTCTTAAACTATTTAGCTAAGTCTTTATGATAATTAAAGAAAGGACATATTCTAAAACAATTTCTCATACATGTCAAGCATTCCCATAACTTGGTAAAGTATGTTAACCTAAATTTAGTTGACTGTCTTTTAAACTCCAACTTTTGCATATTTGATATGAAAGGAAAAATTTTGAAAGGCTGGCAGGCAATATAAATACTTGCATCATCAGTATTTTGATACATTGATAGCATAAAATCCCCTGTTTTGAATTAAAGTACAATCCGCGGATGGATTGTGTGTGTGTGTGTGTGTGTGTGTGTGTGTGTGTGTGTGCGCGCTATGGCTAAAAAGGAATTAAATATGTTACCTGGCTCAAAAATATCCCTACTCAGGCCATGATTTTATGGTAAACTTAAGAATTAGACAGTCTGCCCACAAATACTCACTGTAGTTTTTTGCAGAGTATTGTCATGTTCAAATGGTGACCTGTATTAAATCACTGTAAAAAACTAAAAGTACAGTAGCTCTTGCCAGTTTGCTATCAAATGAGCTCTTTCATGCTTGCTTTAGTATTGGTTTATTTATACTTAAGATCAATGAAAAGCATGGTTCCTGACTCAAGGACAAGGGACCCCAAGGAAGAGCATCTTGAAGTGATTTGCTATTAGTTACATTAAAATGTATCCCAGAGGAACAGTTTTTAAAACCCTGAACTAATTACCAATTATGATGTTCAATCACTTGGTCTTTGTGTGTCAACCTTTTTCTGTGAAGACCAAAAGGTATCCCGAGATAATGTCTTCATGGAGTAGGAAACCTGAATAATGAGACACAGTGGAAATGCTGGTGGGAGATTTAAAGAATAAATGGATGGACATTGTTATAAAAGCAATTACATCTGCTTCGGAGATCTTCTCCCAATATAAACTTAGACAGTGTTAAAAGAAAAATCTTAGACAAGTTAAATTTAACAGAGTTCATTTGAGCAGAGAAAATAAAAAATATTTATGAACCAGATAACATTCAGGACCAAAAGCAGTGCAGAGAGCTTCATCCTACAAGGCGTTGCAGGCAATATTTATAGCTGGAGAAATGGAAATGACATGCGGAAATAACTTGATTGACTAGAGTTCTGTGTTTGCTTTATTTGGATGTTTTGGCAGGTTTCGGCCTACAGTTGGCTGAAGGTTAGGCTGCTATGATTCGCTGAGATTTTGCTACTTGTTATAATGTATGCTCTGAAGTTAGGTTGCAGGTTGTTTACACATTAAGTTAGGTTACAGTTTACCATGTACACAGGCAGATTTAGGACAAACAGTTCAATTTAATAAGAGGAAGAGTGGTAGGAAATGAATTCCAAGATGAAGGTTAAAGCAAAGTTTGTCATTTAGTCCTCTACTCTGTGCAGGCCTGGAGGATCTTACAAATAAAATATGAAATGCAATTTGGTTTTCATTTGTTTAATGTAACACGCAAACCCTTCAGCTAAATTTCTTTCTGAATTGTTTGAAAAACTGTTCTGTACATCCTTTTGCTGTTTATGCATACCCAAACACAAATGCAACTCATCTGTGTGATGTACGCATAATGAAATAACATTGTCTCTATCCCTCTTGCTGAATAGCCTCATAGTTTGAAATGTTCATTAGAATTCAAACACACATTTACATGTTTACCATGTATTTCTTTCTCCTATTTGTTTATCTTAAAGAAAAGTTACATGGGTAAATATCAGATCACTTTAACAGCTTTTTAAAGCTTCCAGACAGTGATCTAAATGCTTATTTCACATTTATTGTAAGCATAGTATTACTAAATATTAGTTAAGTATATCAAACTATCAATATGAGAGCAAGTAAGGGGCAGGAATTATATGTAGTTGTCATCACACGGCCAAATAGAAATTAATCATTTGCCTTTAAAGAGTGTTTGCTGTTGAGCCAGTTGACATAATTTATCTTGCTTTAGTAATATTCTTTACAGGTAAAATAACCTACTCATTTCCACAATGATAAAACATTGTTGTTTTATCGCTTTGAACAAGTACATTAAAATAATACAGAACAGTTGAAGATGTGATGACTGCACAATGAACCAGAATAACATTGAATTAAATGTATTCGTAAATGGGTGGAGAGGAGGTATTTGGTGGAAAAAAAAAAAGCTGAAATACTTGAGCCAATTAAGTCCCTTGACTCCAAACCCATCCCTACGCACTCAGATCTTGGATGCTGGATTGGGTGAACCCTACAACCACATCGCTGTTAGCGTGTTGGCACCTCATGAACTCTGCCAGTAGGGGGCAATAGAGGTAAACTGTAAGACTAGAGGAGAAAAAACAGGTCCCTTCCCTGTTTGCTTCTCCTGGTCTTTTTGGTGAAGTTCTAGAACTTCTAGTATTTTGACTTTTGATTTTAAATACCCCAGGATGATTGGAATTTGCCTTATTCTTATTTTCAGTCTGTCAAATTAAGTCATGTATCATTAGAAGCAATACTGTTGTATGCGCCAGAGAACTGGTTTTATGATCTATTTGTAGTAGAAGGGCTGCCTTGTCATTATCAAAGGTTACTCTTCAGAAAAGTTGCTTGCCTTATTAGCTATGTATTCTAATAGCATAACGACTATACCAACTTTGTTTTGTTTAATTTTTCATGGTATATATTTTTCCATCTTCATTTTGGGTGTTTTCTTCGTGTTCATTTGAGAATGTGTTAAGTGTAATACAGTTTTGTTTTTTAACAAAATCAGTCAGTCTTTATGCTTTAATTTCAGCACTTTAGTTGCCTTTAATTTAATTTCAGACACATTTGTGTTTGCTTTATGAATATATTATTGTTATTTGGCTCATCTATGTTCTTTCTCCCTGTTTTATCTTACTTTATCTTATTTTATTCCACATTTCCATCTATGAGGTGAGTAGTCATGCATTTCTACACCGATTTGAGTGTTTATGCATTTTTGACTTATTATGGTCAAGTAGAAATTACTTATTTTACCACTTTCTAGAGACACTGTGCTTTTAGAACACTAACTACTTTAGTCCCTTCTTTGTATTGTTTTTATAATGGATTATAATTAAACGCATATCTCAAACCCCACCACCCATAACTTTTATTGTTTAATCAGTCTGTATTCCTTTGCATGTGCTCTTATATTGCTTTTTTCATTGTTCTTCCACTCTCCTGCCCATTTTTCCCATTTGGGCCATTTTCTTCTGCCTGCATAACTCTTCTTTTAATGCAAACCTACAGGTTTGCTGACAAGAAATTCTCTCATTCTTTTATGTATTAAAATTTTTTGTTGGTATTAGTTTTGGAAATTATGTTTTCTGGGTATATGATTTTACGTTGACTATTGTTTTATTTAGCACATTAAAGATATACCTAAATTGTCTTATAGCATTCACAGTTTATGTTGAAAAGTCAACTGTCAGTAGTATTGTTGCTTATTTGAACAAAATGTCTTCTTTTCCTCTTATTGCGGCATTTAAGCTTATCTTTAGTTTTAGCAATTTTAGTGTGATGTCTCTAGGATATGATTGAACTTTTATCTTGCTTGAAGCTTGCCAATAATATTTATCTGTGGGTATCATTATTTATGCTGCTTCTGCCCCCCTTTTTAAATCTGTGTTCCTCCCAGGGTGAAAATAACATGCATGCTAGAACTTTTCACTATGGTTTTTATCTTACGTGTTGTACCTTCCAATTATGTTTCTTCTCTTTAAATATTTTTTATTAACTCATATTCAAGCAAGTAATCAGATCGTCTACTGGATCTAACATTCCGTCAATCCCAAACTATTAGCTGTTAACTTCAGGTAGAGTATTTCATGCTTTTATAATTCTATTGAATATTAATTTTAGACATATGTATTTACTTCTAATATTTCTAGTTTTTCTATCTGCATCTTTTCATCTCTCATCTCTATTTTCATCTCATATTCTCTTCAACATATTAATAATAGCCATATTATTTTATTTGTTTATTGTTGATTCATCAAACTTTTATTAAATAAAATTTACTGTATTGTAAAAAGGGAATTTGGGGTAGTTTCTTCAATGGCACAGTTATACAAGGTAGCTGCAGACTGATCTCTAGATCTTTTTTTTCCATTTTTCGAATTTTCTTTGCCTATTTCCCAATCTCTTATCCCCTGAACACACACAGACACACACACACACATCCCTACACACTTTGTGTCCCTTTATGGGGACACACTTACAATAGTCACTTACTATGCAAGTTTACAAGTTTATGGCTAGGGAGGACACTGAAGAACAAATGCTTTTATATACCTTTAGTGGGCTTTTTTCCACATTTTTCAAGAACACAAGACATTGCTATTAACTATGGTCACCGTGTTCTACAATATATTTCTTTAATTCATTCCTTCTATCCAACTGGAATTTTTCATCCTTTGACAAGTATCTCCCCAGCTGCCTCCCCACCACACCACCACTACTATCCTAGCCTCTGGTAATCAACACGTTACTCTCTTTTTCTGTGAATTTGACTTTTTACGCTCCACATGTAAGTGAAGTCATGAGCTATTTGTCTTTATGTGCTTGGCTTTTCTCACTTAACGTAATGCTCTCCAGGTTTATCCATTCTGTTGCAAATGACAGGACCCTTTAATGGCTGAATGGTATTCTCTTGTGTACATATACCATATTTTCTTACCCATTCATCTATGATGGACACTTAGGTTGACTCTGTATCTTGACTATTCTGAATAATACTGCAGTGAATACAGAAGTGCAGATATATTTTTGACTTAGTGATTCAATTTCTTTTATGCACACTCAGTAGTATGATAGCAGAATCATATAGTAGTTTTATTTTTAACTTTTCGAGGAATCTTCATAATGGCTGTACTAATTTTGTATTTCTAAAAACAGTGTGCAAGAGATCCCTTTTTACCATATCTTCACCTTATCTTTCGTATTCTTGATAATAGCCATTCTAACAGATGTGAAGGTGATATCATTGTGGTTTCAATCTTCATTCCCCTTCATGCTTAATAATGTTGAACAGTTTCTCATATATCAATTGGCCATATGCATGACTTCTTTTGAGTGATATCTATTCAGATCCTTGGACCATTTTTTAACTGAGTTATTTGTTTTTTTCTTTTTCACTATAGAATTATTTGAGTTACTTAGATATTTTTGGCTTTAACCTCTTATCAAATGTATGATTTTCAAATAGTTTTTTCCATTTCATAGGTTGTCTCTTCACTGCTGATTGTTTCCTCTGCTGTTTACAAGCTTTGTAGCTTGATGCAATCACATTTATTTTTGTTTTTGTTGTTTGCAATTTTAGGATCAAATCCAAGAAAGTCATTGCCAAGACCAATTTCATGGCACTTTTCTCTTATGTTTTCTTTTTGTACTTTTACTGTTTTAACTTTTACCTTTGTGAGTATAATCTATTTTGAATTAATTTTTGCTTACAGTGTAAGATAAGGCTCTAACTTGATTCTTTTGCATATGGATATCTAGTTTTCTCAGCAACATTTATTGAAGAGACCGCCCTTTCCCCATTGTGTGTTGTTGACATATTTGTCAAAAATCAATTGGCTATAAATACATGTATTTATTGCTGGGCTCTCTATTCTGCCCCATTGATCTGTTTGTTTTTATGTCAGTAAGTTGTTGTTTGGATGACTATAGCTTTGTAGGAGATATCAGAGTAATACTGACCTTGCAAAATGAGTTTAAAGTAATTTCTTTCTATTCCAATTTTGTAATTGTTTGAGAATAATTGTTACTAATGTTTTCCTTAAATGTTTGATAGAATTCAGCATTGAAGCCATTTGATCTTGACATTCTTTTTTTGATGGGAGATTTTTACCACTGATTCAACGTCCTTATTCACTATTGGTGTGCTCAGATTTTTTTTTTTTTTAATAATACCGTTGTGGTAGGTTTTATGTGTTTAATAATTTGTTCATTTCCTGTAGGTGTTCCAATTAGTTGACTTATAATAGTTAATGACAGTATTTTATGATCCTTCATATTTCTGTGGCATCAGTTGTGTAAGGTCTTTTTTAATCTTTTATTTTATTGAGTCTTGTCTTTTGTTTCTAAGTTATTTTGTCTATTTTTTCAAAAAAATTATTTTTTTCATTGCTCTTTTGTAACGTTTTGTCTCTATTTTGCTTATTTCTGCCCTAACCTTTATTGTTTCTTTTCTTTTAATAATTTTCAATGAAGTTTGTTCTTATTTTTCTATTTACTTGTGGTGCAATATTAGGTTGTTTACTTAAGATCTTACTTTTTTGATGCAGGTGTTTATTGGCATAAATTGAATTTTGAGAACTGATTTTCCTACATCCCAAGATTTTGATATGTTGTATTTTTTTATTTGTCTCAAAAATGTTTTTAATTTGCCTTTTAATTTCATCATTTACCGATTGGTTGTTCAGAAGCATTTTGTTCAGTTTCCATGTATTAGTAAACTTTCCAAAGTTCCTCCTCTTGTTGATTCATAGTTTTATATAATAAAATACACTATAAATTTTAATCTTGTTAAATCTGTTAAGACTTGTTACGTGGCTTGATGTATGATCTATTCTAGGGAATGTTCCATGTGCAATTGAGAAGCATGTGTATTCTGCAGCTGTTGGATGGAATGTTCTGTAAACATCTGCTAGGTCCATTTGGTCTAGAGTGCAGTTTAGTTCTGGTAGATTTTACGTATCTAGGAATTTCTTCATTTCTCCTAGCTTATCCAATTTGTTGGTGTTTTCTTGTTCGTAAGTGTCTCTTATGTCCTCTGTATTTCTCTGGTATCAGTAGTAATGTCTCATTTCTATTTCTATGTCTCATTTTTATTTCTATTTTATTTGAGTCTTTCATGAGGCTGTTTGTCAATTTGTTTATCTTTTAAAAACAATAACTCTTAATTTTGTTGCTCTTTTCCATTTTTTGTCTCTTTTATTTAAATCTGCTCTGAATCTTATTTCTCTCTCTCTCTCTCTTTTTTTTCTCTAACTCTAGGCCTAATGTGTTATTTTTTCCAGTTCTTTGAAGTGTAATTTTATGTCTTTTTTTATTTGGGAGCCTCTTTCTTTTTAGATGTAGGCTTTTTTTTTGCTATAAACTTTTGTCTTATTACTGCATTTTTAAATCCCATACATTTTGGTATCTTGTATACTCATTTTGTTTGTCTCAAGATATTTTTAATATCCCTTTTATTTTCTATTTGAACCGCTGGTTGTTTCAAAACATGGTGTTGAATTTCCATATATTTGTGAATTTTCTGATATTTATTCTCTTCCTGATTTCTAGTTTTATATTGTGTACTCATGAGAAATGCTTGATAGTATTTCAGTCTTTTAAAATGCTAAGGCTTGTGTTGTGGCTAAACACATGATATGTCCTGTAAAGGGTTTCATGTGTGCTTGAGAATAATGTGTATTCTTCTGCTATTGAATACATAATATACATTCTGTATAAGTGTGTTATAATTTAATCTAAATTGTAGTTCATGTCCAATGTTTTCTTATTGATTTTCTTGGTGGATAATGTATCCATTGTTAAAAGGGAGTAGAGAAGTCCCCTGCTCTTATTATATGGCAGTTTATCTATTTCTTTATATGTACTAATATTTGCAGATCTGATAATATTAATATTTTACCAGAAGGTGGGAAGGGAGGAGAGGTGAAGAGAAGTTGCTTACTGGGTACAAAAATACAGTTAGATAGAATATATTCTACTGTTTGTAGCACAGTATGGTGACTGTAGTTAGCAAAAATTAATTGTATATTTCAAAATAGCTAGAAGTGAAGATTTAAATGTTTCCAACAAGGGAAATGATCAATCTTTGAGGTGATGGATATTCTAATTACCCTGATTTGATAATCACACATTGTATGCATGTATCACAGTGCCAATATGAACCCTATAAATATGTACAGTTACAGTTATACTTTGATAAAGATACTGCAAAAGTTAAAAAATGAAAAGAAAGATCGAGGAGGAGCCAAGATGGCCGAATAGGAACAGCTCCGGTCTACAGCTCCCAGCGTGAGCGACGCAGAAGACGGGTGATTTCTGCATTTCCATCTGAGGTACCGGGTTCATCTCAATAGGGAGTGCCAGACAGTGGGCGCAGGCCAGTGTGTGTGCGCACCGTGCGCAAGCCGAAGCAGGGCGAGGCATTGCCTCACCTGGGAAGTGCAAGGGGTCAGGGAGTTCCCTTTCCGAGTCAAAGAAAGGGGTGACGGACGTACCTGGAAAATCG
Source organism: Homo sapiens (assembly GCF_000001405.40). Classification (NCBI taxonomy): domain Eukaryota; kingdom Metazoa; phylum Chordata; class Mammalia; order Primates; family Hominidae; genus Homo; species Homo sapiens. The sequence goes on from NC_000001.11 coordinate 247,687,444, forward strand.
GGTCACTCCCACCCGAATATTGCGCTTTTCAGACTGGCTTAAGAAACGGCGCACCACGAGACTATATCCCACACCTGGCTCAGAGGGTCCTACGCCCACGGAATCTCGCTGATTGCTAGCACAGCAGTCTGAGATCAAACTGCAAGGCGGCAACGAGGCTGGGGGAGGGGCGCCCGCCATTGCCCAGGCTTGCTTAGGTAAACAAAGCAGCCGGGAAGCTCGAACTGGGTGGAGCCCACCACAGCTCAAGGAGGCCTGCCTGCCTCTGTAGGCTCCACCTCTGGGGGCAGGGCACAGACAAACAAAAAGACAGCAGTAACCTCTGCAGACTTAAGTGTCCCTGTCTGACAGCTTTGAAGAGAGCAGTGGTTCTCCCAGCACGCAGCTGGAGATCTGAGAACGGGCAGACTGCCTCCTCAAGTGGGTCCCTGACCCCTGACCCCCGAGCAGCCTAACTGGGAGGCACCCCCCAGCAGGGGCACACTGACACCTCACACGGCAGGGTATTCCAACAGACCTGCAGCTGAGGGTCCTGTCTGTTAGAAGGAAAACTAACAACCAGAAAGGACATCTACACCGAAAACCCATCTGTACATCACCATCATCAAAGACCAAAAGTAGATAAAACCACAAAGATGGGGAAAAAACAGAACAGAAAAACTGGAAACTCTAAAATGCAGAGCGCCTCTCCTCCTCCAAAGGAACGCAGTTCCTCACTAGCAACAGAACAAAGCTGGATGGAGAATGATTTTGACGAGCTGAGAGAAGAAGGCTTCAGACGATCAAATTACTCTGAGCTACGGGAGGACATTCAAACCAAAGGCAAAGAAGTTGAAAACTTTGAAAAAAATTTAGAAGAATGTATAACTAGAATAACCAATACAGAGAAGTGCTTAAAGGAGCTGATGGAGCTGAAAACCAAGGCTCGAGAACTACGTGAAGAATGCAGAAGCCTCAGGAGCCGATGCGATCAACTGGAAGAAAGGGTATCAGCAATGGAAGATGAAATGAATGAAATGAAGCGAGAAGGGAAGGTTAGAGAAAAAAGAATAAAAAGAAATGAGCAAAGCCTCCAAGAAATATGGGACTATGTGAAAAGACCAAATCTACGTCTGATTGGTGTACCTGAAAGTGATGTGGAGAATGGAACCAAGTTGGAAAACACTCTGCAGGATATTATCCAGGAGAACTTCCCCAATCTAGCAAGGCAGGCCAACGTTCAGATTCAGGAAATACAGAGAACGCCACAAAGATACTCCTCGAGAAGAGCAACTGCAAGACACATAATTGTCAGATTCACCAAAGTTGAAATGAAGGAAAAAATGTTAAGGGCAGCCAGAGAGAAAGGTCGGGTTACCCTCAAAGGAAAGCCCATCAGACTAACAGCGGATCTCTCGGCAGAAACCCTACAAGCCAGAAGAGAGTGGGGGCCAATATTCAACATTCTTAAAGAAAAGAATTTTCAACCCAGAATTTCATATCCAGCCAAACTAAGCTTCATAAGTGAAGGAGAAATAAAATACTTTATAGACAAGCAAATGCTGAGAGATTTTGTCACCACCAGGCCTGCCCTAAAAGAGCTCCTGAAGGAATCACTAAACATGGAAAGGAACAACCGGTACCAGCCGCTGCAAAATCATGCCAAAATGTAAAGACCATCGAGACTAGGAAGAAACTGCATCAACTAATGAGCAAAATCACCAGCTAACATCATAATGACAGGATCAAATTCACACATAACAATATTAACTTTAAATATAAATGGACTAAATTCTGCAATTAAAAGACACAGACTGGCAAGTTGGATAAAGAGTCAAGACCCATCAGTGTGCTGTATTCAGGAAACCCATCTCACGTGCAGAGACACACATAGGCTCAAAATAAAAGGATGGAGGAAGATCTACCAAGCAAATGGAAAACAAAAAAAGGCAGGGGTTGCAATCCTAGTCTCTGATAAAACAGACTTCAAACCAACGAAGATCAAAAGAGACAAAGAAGGCCATTACATAATGGTAAAGGGATCAATTCAACAAGAGGAGCTAACTATCCTAAATATTTATGCACCCAATACAGGAGCACCCAGATTCATAAAGCAAGTCCTCAGTGACCTACAAAGAGACTTAGACTCCCACACATTAATAATGGGAGACTTTAACACCCCACTGTCAACATTAGACAGATCAACGAGACAGAAAGTCAACAAGGATACCCAGGAATTGAACTCAGCTCTGCACCAAGCAGACCTAATAGACATCTACAGAACTCTCCACCCCAAATCAACAGAATATACATTTTTTTCAGCACCACACCACACCTATTCCAAAATTGACCACATAGTTGGAAGTAAAGCTCTCCTCAGCAAATGTAAAAGAACAGAAATTATAACAAACTATCTCTCAGACCACAGTGCAATCAAACTAGAACTCAGGATTAAGAATCTCACTCAAAGCCGCTCAACTACATGGAAACTGAACAACCTGCTCCTGAATGACTACTGGGTACATAACGAAATGAAGGCAGAAATAAAGATGTTCTTTGAAACCAACGAGAACAAAGACACCACATACCAGAATCTCTGGGACGCATTCAAAGCAGTGTGTAGAGGGAAATTTATAGCACTAAATGCCTACAAGAGAAAGCAGGAAAGATCCAAAATTGACACCCTAACATCACAATTAAAAGAACTAGAAAAGCAAGAGCAAACACATTCAAAAGCTAGCAGAAGGCAAGAAATAACTAAAATCAGAGCAGAACTGAAGGAAATAGAGACACAAAAAACCCTTCAAAAAATCAATGAATCCAGGAGCTGGTTTTTTGAAAGGATCAACAAAATTGATAGACCGCTAGCAAGACTAATAAAGAAAAAAAGAGAGAAGAATCAAATAGACACAATAAAAAATGATAAAGGGGATATCACCACCGATCCCACAGAAATACAAACTACCATCAGAGAATACTACAAACACCTCTACGCAAATAAACTAGAAAATCTAGAAGAAATGGATACATTCCTCGACACATACACTCTCCCAAGACTAAACCAGGAAGAAGTTGAATCTCTGAATAGACCAATAACAGGCTCTGAAATTGTGGCAATAATCAATAGTTTACCAACCAAAAAGAGTCCAGGACCAGATGGATTCACAGCCGAATTCTACCAGAGGTACAAGGAGGAACTGGTACCATTCCTTCTGAAACTATTCCAATCAATAGAAAAAGAGGGAATCCTCCCTAACTCATTTTATGAGGCCAGCATCATTCTGATACCAAAGCCGGGCAGAGACACAACCAAAAAAGAGAATTTTAGACCAATATCCTTGATGAACATTGATGCAAAAATCCTCAATAAAATACTGGCAAACCGAATCCAGCAGCACATCAAAAAGCTTATCCACCATGATCAAGTGGGCTTCATCCCTGGGATGCAAGGCTGGTTCAATATACGCAAGTCAATAAATGTAATCCAGCATATAAACAGAGCCAAAGACAAAAACCACATGATTATCTCAATAGATGCAGAAAAAGCCTTTGACAAAATTCAACAACTCTTCATGCTAAAAACTCTCAATAAATTAGGTATTGATGGGACGTATTTCAAAATAATAAGAGCTATCTATGACAAACCCACAGCCAATATCATACTGAATGGGCAAAAACTGGAAGCATTCCCTTTGAAAACTGGCACAAGACAGGGATGCCCTCTCTCACCGCTCCTATTCAACATAGTGTTGGAAGTTCTGGCCAGGGCAATCAGGCAGGAGAAGGAAATAAAGGGTATTCAATTAGGAAAAGAGGAAGTCAAATTGTCCCTGTTTGCAGACGACATGATTGTTTATCTAGAAAACCCCATCATCTCAGCCCAAAATCTCCTTAAGCTGATAAGCAACTTCAGCAAAGTCTCAGGATACAAAATCAATGTACAAAAATCACAAGCATTCTTATACACCAACAACAGACAAACAGAGAGCCAAATCATGGGTGAACTCCCATTCACAATTGCTTCAAAGAGAATAAAATACTTAGGAATCCAACTTACAAGGGATGTGAAGGACCTCTTCAAGGAGAACTACAAACCACTGCTCAAGGAAATAAAAGAGGACACAAACAAATGGAAGAACATTCCATGCTCATGGGTAGGAAGAATCAATATCGTGAAAATGGCCATACTGCCCAAGGTAATTTACAGATTCAATGCCATCCCCATCAAGTTACCAATGACTTTCTTCACAGAATTGGAAAAAACTACTTTAAAGTTCATATGGAACCAAAAAAGAGCCCGCATTGCCAAGTCAATCCTAAGCCAAAAGAACAAAGCTGGAGGCATCACACTACCTGACTTCAAACTATACTACAAGGCTACAGTAACCAAAACAGCATGGTACTGGTACCAAAACAGAGATATAGATCAATGGAACAGAACAGAGCCCTCAGAAATAATGCCGCATATCTACAACTATCTGATCTTTGACAAACCTGAGAAAAACAAGCAATGGGGAAAGGATTCCCTATTTAATAAATGGTGCTGGGAAAACTGGCTAGCCATATGTAGAAAGCTGAAACTGGATCCCTTCCTTACACCTTATACAAAAATCAATTCAAGATGGATTAAAGACTTAAATGTTAGACCTAAAACCATAAAAACCCTAGAAGAAAACCTAGGCATTACCATTCAGGACATAGGCGTGGGCAAGGACTTCATGTCCAAAACACCAAAAGCAATGGCAACAAAAACCAAAATTGACAAATGGGATCTAATTAAACTAAAGAGCTTCTGCACAGCAAAAGAAACTACCATCAGAGTGAACAGGCAACCTACAACATGGGAGAAAATTTTTGCAACCTACTCATCTGACAAAGGGCTAATATCCAGAATCTACAATGAACTCAAACAAATTTACAAGAAAAAAACAAACAACCCCATCAAAAAGTGGGCGAAGGACATGAACAGACACTTCTCAAAAGAAGACATTTATGCAGCCAAAAAACACATGAAAAAATGCTCATCATCACTGGCCATCAGAGAAATGCAAATCAAAACCACTATGAGATATCATCTCACACCAGTTAGAATGGCAATCATTAAAAAGTCAGGAAACAACAGGTGCTGGAGAGGATGTGGAGAAATAGGAACACTTTTACACTGTTGGTGGGACTGTAAACTAGTTCAACCATTGTGGAAGTCAGTGTGGCGATTCCTCAGGGATCTAGAACTAGAAATACCATTTGACCCAGCCATCCCATTACTGGGTATATACCCAAAGGACTATAAATCATGCTGCTATAAAGACACATGCACACGTATGTTTATTGCGGCACTATTCACAATAGCAAAGACTTGGAACCAACCCAAATGTCCAACAATGATAGTCTGGATTAAGAAAATGTGGCACATATACACCATGGAATACTATGCAGCCATAAAAAATGATGAGTTCATATCCTTTGTAGGGACATGGATGAAATTGGAAACCATCATTCTCAGTAAACTATCGCAAGAACAAAAAACCAAACACCGCATATTCTCACTCATAGGTGGGAATTGAACAATGAGATCACATGGACACAGGAAGGGGAATATCACACTCTGGGGACTGTGGTGGGGTCGGGGGAGGGGGGAGGGATAGCATTGGGAGATATACCTAATGCTAGATGACACATTAGTGGGTGCAGCGCACCAGCATGGCACATGTATACATATGTAACTAACCTGCACAATGTGCACATGTACCCTAAAACTGAGAGTATAATAAAAAAAAAAAAAAAAAAAAAAGAAAAGAAAGATCATATTAAAACAATGAGGAAAAATCTTGATGATATTCATTTATAAAGAACGGATGTGTTGCACTGTGTAATAGTGTTAAAATACAGTTTAAATGTGCAGTTATAAAAATGTTGTTACTAGTGAGGGAAAAAATAAAATGAAATAAAACAAAAACTTAAGCTTGGAAATAGACTCTAGCATACATAATGTTTTGGTATTTAATAATTTTTGCATTTAAAATCAGTAAAGAAGTAAATTATCTAGAAAGAAATTGTGGAGTAATTAATTAGTCCTTTGGGACACAATAACTCAGCTCAAAACCACATTCTCTAAACCAAAATTAATTACAAAACAAATATGATTTCAAATAGTAAAATAAATAAAACTACAGAAGCTATCAGAATTTTTAAGAATTATCACTTCAATCTAAGGATTTACATTCTTGTCTGAACACAAAAGCAAATACAATAAAACATGACTAACAAAAAATTCAAATTTATTATTGAAATTATTGTAAAGAAATACAATATAAAATATAAAAATATTGGAAAAGAATATTTGGGATCTATATGACAAACTAAATTCAATATTATGTTAAGATTACAATTAATTTAGTGGCTTAAAATAACAATGAAACAAATTTATTAACATACATTTATATAGTTTAGAAGTCCAAGATTGGTTTCACTGGGTTAAATTTAAGCCATCAGCAGAATTATATTTCCTTCTGGAGGCTGTAGTGTAGAATTGATTTTCTTGCCTTTTTTGGTTTCTAGAGGCCATTCATTTTCCTTGGCTATTATCAGCTTCCTTCATGTGAGAGCTAGGATCGTTGTACTAACTCCTTCCTGCCCTGCCATCTTTCTCGTTCTCTTACATGTGCCTCCCTCTTCTACTTTTAATGAATGTTGTGATTACATCAAGCCCACCTGAATCATCCAGAATAATCTCCCTATTTTTAGATCAGCTGATAAGTGAAGTTAATTCCATCTGAAACCTTAATTCTATTTCCCCATGTAACCTGACGTATTTACATGTTCTAGGGATTAGAACTTAGACATCTTTGAGAGCTCATTATTCTGCTTATTATAATTGCATGTCTCAAACATCATTGATGAGGCAAGTTTTCATTTTAAAACAAAACTTCAAAAAGTCCATTGCTTTTGTTATCACAAAAAAATTGTTAACTGACTCACCTGAACATCTTTACATGAAAATATTTATTTTTGAAAAGACTTTAGTGTCTGAAGTCTGGATCAAGTACAAACTTCACATTCAACTCACCTGCCCATGTCTGGGCAAGTACAAAACTCACATTCAACTCACATGCCCATGTCTGGCAAAATTGCTACGGTGAAACTAAAACTAAAGTAAAATGTACAAAATAGCAGAATAAACTAAAACAAAAAATAACATAAGCCCTAAATCTGAAGTAGCATATTTCAATAAACCATCAAAAACTGTTAAACCAATCTCATGCAGTATAATTTTCTATAAACCTTAAGGATATTTGATGACAATACAATTTTTTTTAATTATTATTATACTTTAAGTTTTAGGGTACATGTGCACAATGTGCAGGTTAGTTACATATGTATACATGTGCCATGCTGGTGTGCTGCACCCATTAACTCGTCATTTAGCATTAGGTATATCTCCTAAAGCTATCCCTCCCACCTCCCCCCAACCCCACAACAGTCCCCAGAGTGTGATGTTCCCCTTCCTGTGTCCATGTGTTCTCATTGTTCAGTTCCCACCTATGAGTGAGAATATGTGGTGTTTGGTTTTTTGTTCTTGCAATAGTTCACTGAGAATCATGATTTCCAGTTTCATCCATGTCCCTACAAAGGACATGAACTCATTTTTTATGGCTGCATAGTATTCCATGGTGTATGTGTGCCACATTTTCTTAATCCAGCCTGTCATTTTTGGACATTTGGGTTGGTTCCAAGTCTTTGCTATTGTGAATAGTGCCGCAATAAACATACGTGTGCATGTGTCTTTATAGCAGCATGATTTATAGTCCTTTGGGTATATACCCAGTAATGGGATGGCTGGGTCAAATGGTATTTCTAGTTCTAGATCCCTGAGGAATCGCCACACTGACTTCCACAATGGTTGAACTAGTTTACAGTCCCACCAACAGTGTAAAAGTGTTCCTATTTCTCCACATCCTCTCCAGCACCTGTTGTTTCCTGACGTTTTAATGATTGCCATTCTAACTGGTGTGAGATTGTATCCCATTGTGGTTTTGATTTGCATTTCTCTGATAGCCAGTGATGGTGATCATTTTTTCATGTGTTTTTTGGCTGCATAAATGTCTTCTTTTGAGAAGTGTCTGTTCATGTCCTTTGCCCACTTTTTGATGGGGTTGTTTGTTTTTTTCTTATAAATTTGTTTGAGTTCATTGTAGATTCTGGTTATTAGCCCTTTGTCAGATGAGTAGGTTGCGAAAATTTTCTCCCATTTTGTAGGTTGCCTGTTCACTCTGATGGTAGTTTCTTTTGCTGTGCAGAAGCTCTTTAGTTTAATTAGATCCCATTTGTCAATTTTGTCTTCTGTTGCCATTGCTTTTGGTGTTTTAGACATGAAGTCCTTGCCCATGCCTATGTCCTGAATGGTAATGCCTAGGTTTTCTTCTAGGGTTTTTATGGTTTCAGGTCTAACATTTAAGTCTTTAATCCATCTTGAATTGATTTTTGTATAAGGTGTAAGGAAGGGATCCAGTTTCAGCTTTCTACATATGGCTAGCCAGTTTTCCCAGCGCCATTTATTAAATAGGGAATCCTTTCCCCATTTCTTCTTTTTCTCAGGTTTGTCAAAGATCAGATAGTTGTAGATATGCGGTGTTATTTCTGAGGGCTCTGTTCTGTTCCATTGATCTATATCTCTGTTTTGGTACCAGTACCATGCTGTTTTGGTTACTGTAGCCTTGTAATATAGTTTGAAGTCAGGTAGTGTGATGCCTCCAGCTTTGTTCTTTTTGCTTAGGATTGACTTGGCGATGCAGGCTCTTTTTTGGTTCCATATGAACTTTAAAGTAGTTTTTTCCAATTCTGTGAAGAAAGTCATTGGTAGCTTGATGGGGATGGCATTGAATCTATAAATTACCTTGGGCAGTATGGCCATTTTCACGATATTGATTCTTCCTACCCATGAGCATGATGGAAGGACAATACAATTTTTTTAAGTTGAAATGTTGGCTGACTTGTCATTTGGCAAATTATTTTTTTTTGATTTGACCTCATGAAGTTGATTTTTCAGTTAACTGTTTCTGTAAGTGAGGCTTTTAAAATAAATAAATAAATTAGTAAATTCACCTTTTGAGCAATTAGTTTGCTGTGAATTTGGTCATTCAGTAAATTAGTCATGAATAGATTTTGATGAATTGGTTTAGATCAAATTGGCCCAATTTGTAGTAATAAGTCCTAAGGTTCTGGGCAAGGTTAATTAAGGCTGAATAACTCTGGGCTAGCTGAATGGTGAGTATTTTTATTTGCCAAGTGGTATCCTCTATCCAATGAGACTCAATCTCAGAGCAGTTTGCTATTATCCTGAACTGCATGGACATGCTATGTTTTTGATCCTCAATCAAGGATCCTGGATTCAGTACAAGGCAGATGAGTTAGAAAGGAGATTTGAGAATGTAGAAATCCCTCAATGCTAGGATTTGCTGTTTTGAGGGCTGCTGAAAAGGGAGATCAATGAGAATGTCTTGGTTACAAGAAGGAGGTACCTCAGAAGGCTCAAGAGGGAAAGTTGGTAACAAGGGCCCCGTGTATGTCAGGGAAACAGATGTGTTCTTTCTTCTGATAGGGAAAGACCACCCACATGAGCCTAAAAAGAAGCTGTGGACCGCAGCACAGCATCAAATGCAAGGGCTCCTTTTGGCAGTCTGGCTTTACCCATCCTCAGAGCTTCTCTGGAAAACCAAAGATCTCCTAATTTTTAGTGGAAGATGGGTGTGGAGAGAGGAAACAAGCCTCATAGAAGCCTGTATCCCATAATTAACCTAAAATCAGTCTCAGAAGAAAGGACTTCAAAAGAGAGGATAAAGATAAATGAACTTAGACATCCCAACAGTGACAGCAGGGCAGGCAGAACGTAGGCCATACATAGGCTTTCTGACCTCCAGAGTTGCTTAACACCTGGTCTTTGTGGCTTCTTTCATACTCTGGGAGAGAAATGGTGTGCTACCAAGCAGGAGACATTGATTCAAAGTACATTCTGCAGGCTGCAACTCTATCTCCCTTATAACCTGGCTATCAAATCAACCAAGGCGTGAGGGAAGGTGGAGGACAAGGGAGATGTGAGGGAGCAGGCCTTGCCTGTTCTTGGATCCTTGACAGACAGCTCTTCTAGCCTTTGTTCAAGATTCCTATGAAGAGTCTTCATTCTGTAATTGGGTTTACCTGTGTAGTCAATCAGCGGGGTCACTTCTTGTCAGCCCCCTTCCACCCAGTCCCCAAGTGTCCTGCTAGGGCACCTCCTCTTTCCATACAAATGTGGCCTCCAGATCAAGAATTCATTGACTATGGTCCTCTCCCATGGGAGGATGTACACATAGGAATTGTTCACTCTCTATTTGAGGGCTGTGAAGATGCTGCAAATGACAACTAGAATAAATACAGAGCACATGAGCTGTGAAAAGCCCATGACTCCGTATAACAGGAATTCTTGCTGTTAGGTGGCAGGCTTCCCTGTGTGTACCCTGTTAGAAAAATACATGATATTATACATGAAAAACCATAATCAATGATAAAATGAATATCAACAATAAAATAATTCAACATGGTAGCAGGATATAAAGTTAAGATGCAAAAGTCAGTAGCATTCATATAACAAATGGTAGCCATAAAATGTAATGAATAGTTAAAACCCAACTTACCAAAAATTGATCTGAATCCATGTGAAGAAAACCATAAAACATCCTGAAAGATACCAGATAGACAAGGCAAGGACTAGAACAGTATGGACCATTTCTTCTCACTCCACTCTACTAAGCACAAATATAAAACCTGGACAACTATAAAAGTGAAACCACAGAGGAACGTTTAAATGTGGTAGGAAGAATGCAACCTAGTTTGGGAACCCAAAACTGGATGAACAACACAGTGATGGGGTATCCTAGTCCCCCACTTGACTCAAGAAGGAGAAACAGACCCAATCTTTTTAAATTCCCAACATACCAACAAACACAGACCAGCTAGGCTTACCCTCCCACAGGTCAAACCATACTGCATTACTATAAGAGCAAGAGCAAAATGATCTCACTAACAATTAGAAGGCAAGGGAAGCACTCTACACTCTTGTCAGGCCTGAGACCCTCCAATCCATCTAAACCTGCTAACCCTACTGCTGAGCAGAGCCAGCAAGAGGGACTCTACCAAAAGGAGTAATATTTCTGGAAAGTCTCTATCCCCCAGCCCCTAGAACAGCAGTCCTTAACCTTTTTGGCACCAGGGACCAGTTTTGGGGAAGACAATTTTTCCACAGGTGGAGGAGGTTAAGGGAGGATTCAAGTGCATTACATTTATTGTGCACTTTATTTCTATTATATATATATATATATATATATATATATATATATATATATATATATTTATTTATTTATTTACAACTCACCATGATGTAGAATCAGTGGGAGCCCTGAGCTTGTTTTCCTGCAACCAGACAGTCCCATCTGGGCATGATGGGAGACAGTGACAGATTATCAGGCATTAGATTCTCACTGGAGTGCACAATCTAGATCCCTCGCATGCACAGTTCACAGTAGGGCTCACACTCCTATGAGAATCTCACGCCATCGCTGATCTGACAAGAGGCGAGATCAGGAACCATAATCGTCTGTGGCCAGGGGATTGGGGACCCCTGCCATGGGAGACCCCAAAGTAGCCAAAGACCACCAGCAAATATGATTATCCCAAAATAGGCACAGTGAGAGGTCAAGGAAACCTCTTTTCTCCAGAAACCTGATACTCCTCTCCCATGCCAATTGGGCCTATCACTACTGATCCTTCAGCTATTGAAAAGACAATACAACCAACTTTATGCTCATAAATTCAACAA